>NC_000001.11:54250804-54402319 GCF_000001405.40 Homo sapiens
ACCCAGAGGGCTGGGGGTAAGCAGTGAGATGGTTCCACAGCAGAACACCTGTCAGCGCCAACACCTGTTGCTTGGACACCCCTACCTGGGGGAGCAGAGCTGGCCACGAGGGGCAACGACTTTGTTGTGACCGTAAGAGGTATGTGAGGGCACCTGAAATGCTTTCTTCCAATGGCTTATAAACTGCCCTTTGTGGCAGCGGAGCCCTCTGGTCAAAGAATCCCGGCTGAAGTGGGTGCTGGGGTCCTGCCAGCGTGGCCCCCTCCCACCAGAGAATCGCGGACACAGTCCTCATTTAACAGGTGGGGAAACTGAGGCCTGCTGGGGCCCACAGAGGTCAAAGTGATTCATCCAAGGACAGACACATGCTAAGTCGCAGGCAGAGCTAGGAAGGCCACTCATCTGCGCCGCCTCTGGGACACAACCGATGGTGGCCCTAAGCCATCTCAAGTCTACCTCACCCAGGGGAGGCAGCTCTGGGGTTCAGGAGCTCCCTGCCCTTCTTCAGACCCCATGATAGGCTACCGCACCCCAAAAGGGTCTGCCAACTAGAAGGCCTCAGCTGTCCCCTTTTTCCTAGCTCCCTGGTGGGGGCCCTCAACTCTGCCTGCCATCTGCAAGGGGCTGCCCTGGGCAGCGCGTGAAGCCAGCCTGCCACAGGAAGCGGACAGGAGCAGGGGATGCGGCCATGCCCTTCCTCTCACCCCTGCGAACTGAGAGATGTGGGAGACTGACAGAGCATGGAAACAGGAGAGAAGGCGGGTGCACACAGATGGCCAGGGAGACGGACGGACAGACAGGCGGTGGTTACCTGTGGGCCGGGACCCATGGGCCCCATGCCTCGGGGAGGGTTCATTCTCTGCATTGATCCTCCCATGTTGGGGTGGCCTGCGTGAGAGAGGAGGCGCGTCATGGGATGGCAGGAGTGGAGGGAGGAGGAGCCCCTCCTGGCATCCCCAGCCACCCTAGGCCCACCCTGCCCTCTCTACCTTGTTGTCGTGTGGGATCCATAGAATTGGGCAGCAATGGCTGTGTCCCAGGAACTCCTCCCGGAGGCTGAAAGAGATGCAAGACACAAGCTGAGGAGCTGCTCCGGAGCTGCTGGCCATGGGGACAGGCATCTACCTGTCCCACCCAGTGCCCCGTGTGATCACGTGGAGCCACTCATGGCCTCCCTGAGACTTCTGCTGCCTGCCAGTGGGAGAAGGTTACCCCGGGCCTACCAGTCAGCTGGAAGTGGTGTTAGCTATAACTGTGGCGTTGTTTTGGGGGCTCTGTGGGAGGGAAACCACCGCCTCATCCTGCTGTCTTGGGGTAGGGGGTCTGTGTACCTATCAGAGCTCTGAAGTGAGGCAGGAGACCAAGTTCTCTAGGTCTTGCTCTGGCTGTAGCACCAACCACCTTCCTCTCAGAGGCAGCAGTGCCCACTCCCTCCTTCTGCCCAAACCCCATCTTGCCTTTGTCTCACAGACACATACCTCATTTTAGCTCTACTTCCAAATTACGGGGACTGAGACACCCACTACCTAAAATCCTATCGCTGTGGGAAGCCCCATTTAAAGGGGAAAAGAGGATGAGGAGGCTTTTAGGATTGAGATGGGGAAACTGAGGTCACAGGCCTGCGGGCTCCCAGTCACAGGTTGCAGAGCCAAGTGAGCACCCAGGTCACATCCCATCAGCTTCTACAATAGGAAATGCCACCCAGCCCCGGGGCGGGACAGGTGGCCACTAGGAGAGGGACAGGTGGCCACTAGGAGAGGGGCAGGGGTACTAGACGAGAACCCGGCTCCAGAGCTGGGGCCATCGGCGGTGCTGGTGTGGTTACTAATGAGAAGGTAAACACGGGGGCCACGGGTTTCCTGGGTGAACACTTGCCCCACCCGCTGTGAAACCCTATGAAAAGCAATTTACTTGAGACTGAAGTTATTTCAGCTGCAACTGGAAAAAGAGAGTAGGAGTTGCTGGGGGGAAGTTTGCTTCTAGGACCTCATCCCTTAGGGCTTTATAAATATGAGCTTTTGCCTTCGAGAGGAAAAGCCTTTTGGCTGGTCATCTTTCCTCATCTGCAGGTGTCAGTGCTGATCAAAGGCTGGGCATCTGTGACAGGGGTCTGTCCTCAAGGGCCCCCAGCCCAGGCTGTGCTGCTGTGGGGGAGGCTGAGTGGGGAGCTCTCCTGCC
Organism: Homo sapiens; assembly: GCF_000001405.40. Taxonomy (NCBI): domain Eukaryota; kingdom Metazoa; phylum Chordata; class Mammalia; order Primates; family Hominidae; genus Homo; species Homo sapiens. The sequence goes on from NC_000001.11 coordinate 54,252,983, forward strand.
TTGAGCTCAATAGTGAACTTCAAACCGGTTTTGGAACGAGGTGGTGGAAAGCGAAGGGACAGACTGTTCACTGATTTCCCTAGCTTCAGAATGGAACAGGGGAGCGGGTATGTGTGGTTAAGGTACGAGAGGATTGTGTGAGGGCATAGGGAGTATCTGATGTTCACGAAGTAGAATTGGTATTTGTTTTTGTTTTTTTTTTAGTTTTTGTTTTTTTTTTTTTTTAAGACAGGGTCGCTTGCTCTGTTGCCCAGGTTGGAATGCAGTAGTGTGATCACAGCTCACTGCAGCCTCGAACTCCCAGGTTCAAGCAATCCTCCTGCCTCAGCCATCCCAAGAGCTGGGACTACAGGCACGCGCTGTCACACCCGGCTAATTTTTAAATTTTTTGTATTGATGGGGTCTCACTATGTTGCCTGGGCTCGTATCAAACTCCTAGGCTCAAGTGATCCTCCTGCCTCAGCCTCCCAAAATGCTGGGATTACAGGTGTGAGCCTCCGCACCTGGCCTACAAAGTGGCATTTAGCACCTGCTGTTTCCGTCTGCCTGGGGGTGCTCAGCGTCTGTCTTTCCAATCCCTGGATTTTTAGTTGTTCCGGCCTCTCACTTTCTCCCAGCCCTGCTTCCTGGCCCCAGGTTCCCTAGCTCTGAATCACTTGGCTGGTTTGCGTCTGCCCACTGGGGGTTTGTGGTTTTTATAGAGTCCTGGTGACTCAGGAAGGCCTGCCTCTAAGGCTGTCTGGACTGGGGGATCCCAGGACATGGAGGTGGATGGGGGACCTTCAGGGTCATGAGTCACCCAGTGCAGGACCACCCCATCCAACCCAGACAGTGCAGCCATGGGGCTTGGCAGTCACTCTCTCCAGGTAGCCCAATGCTGACCACCAATTCTTGGAGAAAGCTCCTCCTTGGATTCCTCTAACCCTCCTATGTGTCGGAACTCCAGGAGCAAAGCTGGGCTGTTCAGAGGCTCAGAGGGGACCTGGAGGTCGCGTCCCTCACTGAGGTGACCCTGAGACAGGGACAGACAGTCTGGGCCTCTTCTATCAGGGGAAGAAGGTGTGCAATGACCAAGGAAAGGGGTCTCAAACTAAGAGGGCTGAAGCCCTCAAACTTAAGGAGGAAAAACAACGGCTCATATATGGGACCATAATTACACGCTGTGCACACACCCCTGGGGCCTACAGGGGAGCGAGTTGCTCTGGGGCTTCTGGACGGAGGCCAGCTCTTCTCCTACAGCACTGCATGTGGGGCAAGGCACAGGAAGCATCTGCCCAGGAAACGGACAAATCCCTGCTGCATCCGCATGCTCTCTCACCTGCCCCGCCAGCACAGCCAGCCTGCCAGGTGGGACCTCTGCCGAGATGTGTGTGGGAGAGCTCTCTGACAACCCTGGATTCCAGCCACTCTCTCCTAAACCCGGCTGAACTCCACTGTCACCACCCATCCAATCACCCGCACTTGAAAAAACAGCAACTCTCTATGCACAGCCTCTAGCCAGGGAGGCAGATGGGAGGCAGGCCTCGTAAGACCCTGAGGCCACATCACTGACCCTTTGCTTCTTGTTTCCCTAAGGGCCCTTTTCACTCCCCTCACCCAAAAGGCACATTCATAATGGCCTGTGAGCCCCAGCAAGTCCTCTAGTCTCGGCTCCCTTTACCCGTCACAGGAGAGAACTGAGCTAACTCGGGTGGCACAGGGCTTCTGTTAACTGGCAGACCCAACGAGGGCACTCTTCAAGAAAGCCCCAGGGTCAATACCTGTGGAAGGGGCACATCCCTCTTTGGAGGATAGAAATTTCTTGAGGTCACAGGAAACTGGAAAACCAGTGTGGATTTCTTTTTTTATCTTTTTTCTTCTTTTTTTTTGAGGCGGAGTCTCGCTCTGTCACCCAAGCTGGAGTGCAATGGCGCAATCTCGGCTCACTGCAGCCTCCGACTCCTAGGTCCCAGCGATTCTCCTGCCTCAGCCTCCTGGGTAGCTGGGATTACAGGCACACGCCAGCATGCCTGGCTAATTTTTGGATTTTTAGTAGAGACAGGGTTTCACCATGTTGGCCAGGCCAGTCTCGAACTCCTGATCAAGTGATCCACCCGCCTGAGCCTCCCAAAGTGCTAGCATTATAAGCGTGAGTCACTGCGCCCAGCCCCAGTGTAGATTTCTATTGCGGGGGGGCGGGGGGGGGGGTGGTTGGCAGGGAGGTTGGGAAAACTGGTGTGTAATACAAAGTACAGATGATGGATTTATCCCCCATTTGCTCTTGAGTGGTTGCTCATGCTTAGTTGCTGAGTAGAAATATACACACCCCTCTCCATATCCTTTAATTGCCAGAAGAAGGGCCACCACAATTATGATAAGGAAGTAGCTCCTTTCTTCCTGGCAGAGGCCAGTTTGGACCAAGAAGAGCTCCTGGGTGGGAAGGCTGCTGCTGGCGCCCCTATGTGCCACGGCAAAGCAGGCCCAGCGGTGATGGGTTAAAAACACAGATGGGGGCAGGAATCTTACATCTGTGAAAACTGAGGAAAGGGGTGGAGTAGAGTACAATTAGCACTGGGCTGGAACCAAGATCAACTCCAGCCCAGCTCACTTTGGGAAGTCACTCCTCCACTCTGACCTTTTGTTTCCTCATCTGTGATGTATCCAGGGATCCCTTCTTTTGCTCAAAAAGCTGGGTCTCTAATTCCTCTTGTCCAAATTTGTCCCCTTCATGTCAGAGAAAATAGAAAATGAAGGACTTTTGGAGAGAAAAAAAAACAAAATAAAAAGGTGGGAACCCGATAGGCAATTTAGCATTAAAGCTGGAGAGCTGGCCAGGCACGGTGGCTCACGCCTGTAATCCCAACACTGTGGGAGGCCAAGGCAGGCAGATCTCATGAAGTCAGGAGTTTGAGACCAGCTGGCCAACATGGTGAAAGCCTGTCTCTATTATAAATACAAAAATTAGCCGGGCATGGTGGCGCACACCTGTAATCCCAGTTACTTGGGTGGCTGAGGCAGGAGAACTGCTTGAACCCAGGAGGCGGACGGAGGTTGCAGTGAGCAGAGATTGCACCACTGCACTCCAGCCTGGGAGACAGAGCGAGACTCCGGTTAAAAAAAAAAAAAAGACAATTGGAGACCCCTGGTAATGAGCATCTCTCCATAGTCCCTGCATCACCTCACTCAGGAGCCTTCTTGCAGAGCCCTGAGAATGAAAAGCATCACACTCAGACAATGCTAATTTAGCTGGTGACTAAACTCCCAGTTCAAAGGCAACAAGGGCTGGATGTGCTGGCGCTTCTGTCAGATTTTTTTGAAGGGCTTTTGCAAAGTCACCGAAATAATTCTGTTTTAAAAAATTGGGGCATAAAATTTCCCTGATGTTTCTCGAAAAGTTTCTTTTAAGTCTGTCTATCCTCAAAAGAGGCATCTATTCATATTTACCTCTGCAACTCCTCTCCTGCCCTGAACCAGGGAGGGTGGCATGGGGTCTGATTTCTCCAGACCACCTAGAATTGCCAACCCTAATGGGCCAGCGTAAGGCATATGACCCCAGGCAAAAATCCCTCCCCGTAATCAGACCCCTTTTCTAATTACACGAACAAATCCTTTCTTGTTTTGAGTTGGGTCTGGGAAGCAGGCAGACATTGCTGAAAAACTCACAAATCTCCTGCTCTGCTGCATCCAGGCTCCTGATCTAAGCATTCCTACGGGCCATTTCCCCCCCTAATAGCAGGATTATATTTACCAGCCTTGGCAATTCTCAAAAGCTTCCAGGAAAAAATGCACATTGTCAATTAGCTTCATTAAGGAGGAAGACCCTCTTCCAAGAAGGGGGTAGAAGGGAGGGGCAGGGCATTACCATCTTCTCTAGAATAGCCGAAACCCTGCAATCCCAGATGCGCCTTAGCTCCATCTGCTGCCACCTTCTGAACTCTGGAATGGGCTGTCCAAAGGGCCATCTGGAGAGGCAGGTGAACTGCCGCACCATGGGCACAGCGGGGACATGGGGCCCTCTCTGGGGAACAGCTAGTAAGCTACCAGCCACGTTAAACCTGCCCCTCCACCCCTCAATCCTTTCCCTCAACTTTCATTTTGTGTCAAAGTCCACCTAGGGCCAAGGATGGCTGAGGGAGGGGAGAGAGAACATGAAAAGGTACAGTACCTGGTTTCCCATTCTGATCGGGGGCCTGGGGCCGCCTGCGTATCGCGGTGACATAAAAGGCTGCAATTATAGGTAATTAGTTCAATGACAGCCTGCCCTACTGCACAGTGACAAACACAAATGCTCTCCACTCCACAAAGTCCAGTTTTGTTATAACTAGTGATCTTTTAAGTTCTTTCTCCTGCTAGCCTCTTCCCTTTGACAGCAAAACTTCCTTTGGGCAGAGGGAACAATAGATCCACACAACAAATGTGTCTCTTGACTCCACATTTGTTCGTGGAGATCTACTCTGGGTGGGAAGGGCAGCGGCTGGGACTTTGCATAAGAAACGAAAAACAGTTAAATCAACGCAGGGCGGAGGAGGAAACCTCTGCTCTCGGTAAGGGCAAATGAAAGGGTAAGAAGGACTGATACGTAACATCTTAAGGGCCTGCAGACAAAGCTGGACACACGAGCACGCACACAGGCACACGCACACAGAAACCACCAGCAGGGACAGAGAGGGGAGCAAGGACTGGGGGGGAAACGCCAAGGAGACAGCGGGCTCCCTAACTTAATGCAGGGGAATGGCAGGAAAGCTTTCTCAGCAGCACGAGTGCACAAAGAAAAGGCTCGGGATGCAGCTTCGGTTACAAACAAATGGTGAACCAAACTCAAAACCAAACCAAAAGTGAGAGAGGAAAAAACAAAAACGCAAAGGCAGCTGACAAGGTCACAGAAATATATATTTTTTCCTTTTGGTTTCGTATCCAAGCTGGGTGTGATATCCGAGGACTGAAGACTATCTTTAGAAAAAAGAAATTTCTAAAAAAATTTAATTTGTCAATAAAGACTCGCAGGCAGTGGCTAGAGCACATTTTGATTTTTGTTTTTCCTCTGCGGGCTCTCTGCTTCCTCCGCGCCCCGCGTCCCCGGCGGGCGGGAGCGCCACGGTGCGTTTACCTGACTGTGGGGTCCCATCATGCTGCTAGGATTGTGAGGTGGAGGCTGTGCGTGCGGCGAGGGCTGTGACCCCGGAGGACCCTGTGAGGCCAGACAGTAGAGGCAGGTTATAGATCACAGCACATGGAGAAGCGCAGAAGCAGCTTAAAAGAACAAAAATTAAACCAAAACGAAGGGTGGGCGGCGGGCGTGCGGGGGGGTGGGCTCTGGTTGGTGGGAGGTGGTGGAGCTGCTGCTTTGGTCGCCGGCTCAACGGTGTAAAACGGCGAGCGGGAGCGAGAGAAGCTGATAAATACATTCACAGGGGGTTGAAAGAACAAAAAATGAAGCACCTCTGTCAAAGCACACGGGAGTACAGTCCTGGACACAGCCTACCCTTGGAGCGGAGTTTGCCATGTTAAATACGTTGGTTGAGACGGGCTCAGAGGGAGTACAATGATGCACAGACACAGGGACCCAGGTGCAAAGCACGTAGGTGCCGCTTGCACGGGAGGTGGGGAAAGATCGGGAAGGGCCCTGCCCTCAAGGAGCTCACAGTCTGGGGGACAGTGACACGGCTATGGGTGACTCGAGGCAGTACTGATCAAGTGTCAGGGAGAGGCCCAGGCGACGGGTTTCCTGGGGGCAGGAGGGCCGGGGGCACCGACAGATAAACAACAGAGGCAAGAGGAGCAAGGGGCACCACAGATGTAACACACAGGGAGTGAGGGGACAGTGAGTGAGGGCCACACGGTGTGGGCAGCACAGACTCGCACACCGTGAATTCACCTGCACTTCAAAGCAGCCCTGTGAGGCGGGGTTTCTCATTCCAATTTTTACTGATGAGGAATCTAAGTCTCGAGGGATGAAGGAACTTGGCCATGGCCATAAAACTGGTCAGTGGCAGAGCTGGGATGAGAAGCCCCATGGGTCCAAGGCCCATCTCCAGCCCTGAAACCCAAGAGTTCCGGTGCAGAGCTGGGGACAGGGGGAAGTGCATGAAGGGTGGGGACCCCGGACTGCTGGGCGACTGGGTGGGCTATCCTTTTCATACCTCAGTTCCAAGCTGACCCCCACCCCCACCGCCTCAACCCTGGGCTATGCTGACCTCGACCCCCCTACCCCGCCCCAGAAGACATGGGCAGATGAATTCACTTCAACCTTGGGGTTACAAACTATGGGTAGAAACTCACTCAGCAATTCAGCAAGCTGCAATAATTATCTCTTAAAAATCCGAGGTAATAAAAAAAAAAGTCAGAGAGCTTTGTGTATTTTAAGGCAGGTGTCTTTCATGAACCCCGGTTTTGTGTGTAAATATTCATGTGTGTGTAGACTGGGTCACACCACCAAAGGACTCTCCTACCATGGGTCACAGTCAGTAAGCGCGGAGGGCTGCCTCGGAAGCACGTTCCAGCCCACCCAGCGTGGGATGCTGATGCCAGGGATGAGGAGACAGGCCTCCATTCGCTCTTCCCCACCCATGACTGTGCTGTTTTTTAGAGGTTGGTTTTTAGAAAAATTCAAAATGTGCACAGGGGGTGAGTGTGGCTAAATTAAAAAGAGAGAGGAGCTGCCTAGGTAGGGTTTCCCCCTTGGCCTTCTCCTGCAGAGCCAGGCTGCCAGCCGCCTGCCCACTGGGGAGGAGGGGCGTGGGCCCACAGAGAAGAGGTGTGCAGAGAACATCGCAGGGGGCTGTACAAGAACCCGAGGGCGCCGCCGCTGTGAGGCCTGGGAGTTTCTTGGCCAAGCGAGGAGCTGCTCACTTCCGGAAAGCTCCGAGGAGCAGATGTTCCCCTACCTGCCACGCTACTAATTTCAACAAGTGTGTGTCTTTCTAGCGGCTGCCAGCAACGGCATGGTTTGTTACCATGAGCAATTTTCTTAATTAACAGACATTAATTAGCCATTTAGCAATTTTGCAAGCATTTGTTTAGCGGCTTTCCCAAACATGAATACCACTGTGATAATGGCACTGATTAGAGGGTCCCCTAATTAACAGTACAGGGAAGGAAAATTGAAATCACATAAATTAAAAAGGGAGGGGAGTTAATGAAGGCGGGACATATTTGCACCTGCAAGTCTTTTGTACCACGTAACTTGGGTGTAATGTAAACAAAACAAGATAATTTGAAGCCAACCCCCAAAAAAAGAAATATGAAAAGAACAGAGGAGGAAGGTTCAAGGGTAAGGTCCAGTTGCCAAGAGGGGGCAAAAGGCCTTCTGTTGGTTCCTCGGCTCTTGGCAAGAAGGGAGTGCCTCCTCCCTCGCGTCCTTCCCTTCCTGGTAACTGAGTGCTTCCTCAGGGCGAGCAGTGGGGCTCTGGGCAAGCCCCTCACACCTGTGTGCCCAGTGGTCAGGGAGGGCAGGAGGCTGGCTCACTGACAGATTAGAGAAAACAGAAGTGAAGCACCCAAGGGCGTGTGGCGCACACGGTGGGGCCTCAATCTACGGCAGCCTTTACAAAGGACCAGTGCTCCAACCGGGGTCTGCTGAGATCCAGACAGCAAGGCTGGCAGGTGTGCCTCCTCTGCGCCTCCCTCAGAAGCGCCCCTGGGGGACTCTGGAGACCAGTCCCTGGATAAGCAGAGGTGGCACAAGCTTGCTCTTGGCGCAGCTGCCTCAAGAAAAAAAGCTGACAAGCAGTAAGGATGGAGCCAGGCTGGTCAGGGAGGCCCCAGCCCAGCCCCACAACCTCTCTGGCTCATGGGGAACAAGCTGTTAAATCTGGGGCGGGAAGAGCAGCTAGAAGTCTTCCCTCTGACTTGGAGCTAGGGGTTGGAATGATGAGGACCAGGAATCTTGGCCCAGGCCTGCCAGTCACTCAGGGAGAAAAATGATACCACATTCTTGACAGAGGCCAAGCTAAAAGCTCAGTGCCCACCTCCTCAGGGCACAGAGCTCCTCTCCCACCTGCAGTGAAGCGCTGACAGGCTCTGCCTGCCCACCTCTCGGCACAGAGCCAGACGCCTGCCATTTCCCAACGGGCCACCCACGTCCACATCCACAGAGAACTCCTCTGTGTCTCTGCTACCTCCACTCAGCCCGGAGCTCCGTCACTACGTTCCCTGTGTCTAGGCTGTGTCCCTAAGACCCTGTGGCATCACAGGAGGAACCCCACATAGCCTAGCAGTCTCACGGGCAGAGATCCGTGTTTGTGGAAGCATTTGCTTCTGCAAGGAACATGACAGATGAGCTGCCCATCTCTATGAGGAGTCAGGGGCTCTGCTGCCCTGTGTTTTATTAGGCCACAAAAAGTGCTCTCGTCTTCCTTCCCAGCCTGCATTCTCAACAAGAGATCCACAGGTAGGTTTGAAGAAGACGGACTTTGTGCTCTTTTGGATTTGTTACCCACTCGGGCAAAAGGCTACACAGGAGGCAGACAACAATGAAAAAGGATCTAGATTGAGGGCTCTGACCTTTGGTGGGACGGGGGCCGCTCTCTTCCCCGAACTCTGAACAGACCCAGCAGGCAGGCAGAGTGGACTGTGGTGGAAGGTGAGAGGAGGAGGGAGTCTCAAAGCTGATGATACTGATGTGCTTTTCCATGCAGGACATCTCTGGTGAGGCTTCCACTTGCTGGAAGCTTTTGAGGAACCCAAAATGGGTGCATCTGGAGGGCTGCTTGGCCAGCAGGCCCAGCTCCATTTAGAACATCTCCCTCCATGAGAGCTGGATGCCTTCGGTTCCAGAGGCTGCCTAATTAACCTTCCAGGGATGCGGTGGATCAGGGCAGATGGCACCCTGAAGGTGTGCAAAATATCAGGCTAGACTAGGGTGGCTGGGGGTCCTTACTAGATGCTTAGGGAGAACGGCATCTGCCCAGGGGTCACCTGTTAGGTGGCTTTGACAGATTCTATCATCCCTTCCTCCAACATTTGCAGGGGAGGAGAAAAGAGAGGCCCATGACAGAGGTGTGACCTCTCCAAGACCACAGAAAACTAGTTGGCATCTGAACCACATCTCCTAACTCTACCCCAGGGCTCTCCTCAAAACATCACATTCCCATTTGCATCTCTTTTAGATGAAGAAATAGGGTTTGGAAGGAACTGGGTTCGAATCCTGGCTCTGCCCCTGACTGCATTTCCATTTTCTTGACAGTGGAATGGGGCCGTGAGAGTAACAATAACAGGGAGCGTGGCCTCTACCTACATAAGCTCATCTAATCCCGGACTCCTCGCAGTAAGGGATCAATTGCCCCATTTTATTGCCAAGGAACTGAGGCTTGGAAAGATAAAGGCACTCCAGGATTGCATAGCTATTACGTGGTGGAGCCAGGCCTCGATGTCTGATTCTAGAGTCTAACAGGGTCCTGGGTAGCCCATCATTCTACAAGACTGCGAGCAGCACCTCCGTGTCATCTGTCAGGGCAGAAAGCAAAGGGCAAAGTGGAATGAACCCAAGGCTGAAGGACTTGGGAGAGCACCGAGATGCCGGGTGCTGACCTCCTATGTGGCCAGCCAGCCCCATGCTGGGGTCTGGAGGCACATCAGACTTGTCCTGACCCTGAGGAGCTGCCAGGCTAAGGACAAAAACGATTACACAGAGAGAAATAAGCTTAAGTGTTGGCTTAACCTGCCAGGGGCTCCAAGAGAGGGTGATGCCTACCTCCCTCTCACTCCCAGACAGGTAAACTGAGGCCCAGTGTGGCCACAGCATGTAGGCCTGGTACCCCCATGAGCCAACCGGAACTGGGATGAGAACTGGGGTCCACTGACGGGTCAGAGCTCTTTCCACTGCACTGCACTGCCTCTGCAGGGTGATGGCAGCAGGACCAAGCCCTGGGGTAGACCTCAACATGGGGGAAAATCCCCACTCCTGAATCTGGGAAAAGGAGGCAGGAAACACGCCCACTTCCTGTCCAGCCTTCCAGCTGCCCTGGACCCTGTTAATGGACTCGCTATTCCATCTCAGCTGGCCCCAAGATCTCTGAGTGGAGACAACTAACTCCCGCAGTTTCTTGTTATTCTTTCTCCTGTAATTTCAGCACTGGGTAGTGTTCCATCCAGCAGCTCCTGAGAGCCACTTAGGCAGGGCCCAGGAGGCTCTGTTATGGGTGTGATCGAGGCAAACACTGGGCCACTTCACGAAAACTCCGAAGTGTGGACACTGATGGTTAGTGAAAAAGCCTTTACCCACACTGACAGCGTGGGGAGCAGAGCATTCCCACTGTAAAACGGATTCAAGGACTCTGCGGAAAAGCATTTCAGAAGCATCAGCAGGACCCCCAGCCCTCCCGCACGCTCCGGCTAAGTCCCTGCACTTCATCTGAAGCCGTCCTGGAGAGGCGGGTTGTGGTGTGACAGGAAGCGCCCACATTATGCGGGCCTGGGATCCAATCCCAGCTCCTCCGGTTCATTCGGAGTCCAGTTTCCCAACGGCTCTGAGCCTCACTGCCCTCATAAAGGAAATGAGGACTATTCCACAAACACTGCAGGGCTGTGGCACAGCTGGCAGTGTGAGGCACACGGGGTCCCCAGTCCTGGTCCCCATCCTCCTGCTCCTGTGGCCACTCGCCTGCCCTTTACAAGGAAAGCAGGAGCTTGACGTCTGGCCTCATCTCACCAGGTCTGCTGAAGGCCACATATCCTTTTTCATGAAGGCTTTCCTGCTCCAGCCCTTCAAGTGCTCTCTAAACACAGAACCTTTCCTTACTCCATGTCTGGGGGTGCCATGTGGACCCCTCCAGGCCAGGCCACTCACCCCCACAGGTACCTTGGGGCAGGGCCCAAACAGAGCAGCAGGGCTGAGGCAGCAGGCGACCACACTGCCATGGGCAAGGGGCAAGACCCAGCAAGCCCCGGGGCAGGCACATCTAACACCTTGGGGCTCATAGGAACCAGGAAGAAAAGTTAGTACCAAAAGGGTGACCAAGTTGGTCTTCTGAGCTAAAGATTCTTGGAGCTGGATGGAAGATAGCTCCTTAAAACCAAAACCAAAACCAAAACAAAAACAAAAACAAAAGCAAAACGAACAGGCTGGGCACATGGCTTACACCTGTAATCCAGCATTTTGGGAGGCCGAGGCAGGAGGATTGCTTGAGCCCAGGAGTTTGAGACCAGCCTGGGCAGTATGGCAAAACTCCGTCTCTACAAAAAAATACAAAAGCTAGCCAGGTGTGGTGGTGTGCGCCTGTGGCCCCAGTTACTCAGGAGACAGAGGTGGGAGGATCCCTTGAGCCAGGGAGGTGGAGGCTGCAGTCAGCTGTGATCATGCCACTGCACTCTAGCCTGGGTGACGGTGAGACCTGCCTAAAAAAACGAAACAAAACAAAACCAAACCAAGAACAAAATAAACCTACACCGATTTTTTAAAGGAGAAAATAAGCTATGTGTTAAGTATTCCCCAAACTCACTGCTTCTTCCCCAAATGCCACCCATATTCCTCAAATCTGCCTACACCTGTCTAGAAGTCATGGGCTTGCTGAGAAATAAAGCTGAGACTCAAGTCCTGGCTCTGTGGGTTCAGAGGCATGCCTGGGAGGCGAAGTGTGAGGACAGGCTGTGACCTGTGCTGAAGGCACTGGTCCCAAAACCCAAAAAGCACTAGGGCTGGAGTCCTGGCCTTGTCGCCCTGGGTCTTGGCAGAGCATCCCTCAAGCGAGGTGGGGAGTATAGGCTATGATTCTCTCACGGGTCACGAAAGCTGTGAGAGTTCTCTGTAAACTGCTGACAGCTACCCAGACAGACGCCATTACCACCCAGCCAAATCCGCCTTTTGTCTTCACAGAAGGCTGCTGAGGAAAGGGGACTTGAGGTTTTAGGTTGTTAAGAGATAAAACACTCCACACATCCTCGTCCCTCCTGACTCCTAGGACACCGGCCACTGCTCTGGAGAGGCTGAAGGAGTGGGTTTTCTCGACCAGCAGTGGGACGCAGAGGACCTGCGGTACTGGCGGCCTGTGTAATCTGCCTGTTAGGTGTGTTGCTTTAATTGAGTGAATACAAAATTACAATAATTATACACAGCAAAAGGCACTTGATAGACAATCCAATTTGCTCCTTGGTCCCAAATACCGACAGAAAATGGCGTAAGCTCAGTCTGGGGAGAAGGTCAAGGTGTGCTCAGGTGCCATGGACATCCGGAATCTGTCACCATGGTCTGCCTCACCCACAGCCCCCAAGGAAAGGGAAGCTGACCAGATGGGGGGAGGAAGGGAAAGCAAGTCAATTTTACATGCAGTCTTTGGCGGAAACGTTATTTCTTCATTTCAACCCATGGGAATGAACTTGGCATGGCTTGGAGAGGGGTTGTGTGAAGGGTGTGGGTGTGTGTGTGTTATGTAGGGTGTGTATGTGTGTGTGTGTTTACAGGCCAGAGCTGGGGCTGAGACACCAACTTGAGGGCAGAAGGTGACTAAGTTGCCCGCCTGCACACCCAGCATGGGCCTGGCACATGCACGGTAGGTGGGTCCTCAGGGGGCTGAGCTGGGCCACACAGCAGTGGAATAACTGCCCGGGCTTCTGCGTGGTCCCCGAGAGCTCACAGTCAGGTGGGGCTCCTGGCTACCCAGCAGAAGAGCCCATGACAATCAATGGCCCTTTGTGGGGAGAGGACAAGGAGAGGGCTGGGTTTAGAGGTCTGGCAATGGTGTGGACCATCTTCCTGGGACGGTGGGGAAGTTACCAGTTAGAGAAAGCAGGAATGTACTGCATCTCCCCTTCATACTCATCTCTGCATAAATACCAGGGATCCTTACAGCCACCAAGGTCCACTCCTTGCAAAGGTGAGCAAATGGTTCATTGATTTCCGTGTGAGCAAAGGCCCCAGCCGACCTCCCTTCCTCCTAGCAGTCTCTCCAAGGAGCCAGGGCAGCACTGGGCAGACAGCAAGGGTTCAGGGTTTGCACCATTAGGAATCTGGCTTCCCTGGACAGCCCTGCTGAGGCGTGAACAGGGGGCGCTCAGTGAAGGCTCTGCTCACCAGGCATGAAACTCACTTGCCTCCTGGCGGAACAGAATCAGCAAGTGATGGTTTCCCAAACAAAGGGAGGAAACATGGCAAACGAAAAGTATAGGCAGCGTCCAAAACCTAACGCATAGCTCCTCCACACACTGCTTGCCAGCGCCTCTTTCTCCAGCGCCTGGACTGCGACTGCCATGATACAGATGGGAAGACTGAGCCTCAGAGATGTGATCTCATTGGTTCCAGGTCCAACCTGCTTCAAAGTCTAGGCTGGGTCCCTCGCACCAAGCTGCATACCAGGGCAAAGGCTGGTCTTGGCTGCAGCACAAGGACCCCAAGAGCACAGCCACCAGGCTGAGCTACAGTCAAGTCAGGGTCAAACTAGCCTGCCACCTGTTTTTATAAATTAAGTTTAATTAGAACACAATGTAAATAAAGTTTTATTGGAACACAGTGCAAATAAAGTTTTGTTGGAACAGAGCCACACTCACTCATGTTCTGTCCACGGCTGCTTACAAAGACCTGATGGCCCACAAAGTCTAAGATTATTTCCTAGCTGTCCCTTCACAGAAAAAGTCTGCAGACCCCTGAGTTAGATGATGGTCCTCAAGACTGAAGAGGGAAAAAAGTGGAGTCTTCTGTAATTCTCAAGGAAAAACAAAACAGTGCTACACTTTGATTTTAACCTCACATTTCTCTTGTAAGACAAATGAAGCAAAAGTTGACCCCATTTTACAAAGGGGGAAAACTGAAGTATAGTGACATTAAGGCATTAATTATCAGAGCCAAGATGTTATGCCCCTGAGGACAAACAGAATGAGCACTGGCCAGGCATCAGCACACCTGAATTTGGCTGTCACACCAACACCCTCCATGCTCACTAATCAATGAGCCCTGGTCTCTTGGCCACTGCTCCCGAATACAGTGATAGTGCATCATCGGAACACAAAACCCAGCGCTCACGTCCAGCTGGCTGGTCACAACCCTCCTTGCTGATGGTGTCCCCAGTTTCATTCTTGCCACAATGCTGGGGAAGAAGCCCTTCCCCTTGTTTGCCAGCACAAATATTCTGGGAGCTTGAATCCCAGCCTTGAGTTCTTTTGGCAGGTTCAAACCGTTTGGACCCTTTCCTGTGGTGTGAATTCACAAAGAATTAGATCCTCTGGGGTCATCTCAGCCAGGAAAAGGCTCCACCTCGAATGGCTGTGGTTGGGAAGGGCCAGGATATGAGACGTGACTTTGCCTCCAGCCACTAAATGCTTAAGGAGGGCTTTCCTGCTGGAGATTCTCCGTGTATTCCACATGTATCCATACAACAGGGCACTCTTTTCAAGAACACAGCCCAATATCCATAACATATGTGCAGAGCCCACCTCTATCTGGCAGTCACTCTAACTGGGCACTAGGTCCCAGTACCCTGAGCTAAGTGCCGGAGACACGTGAACAAGCAGTATTCTGCCCTTCCCTAAAGAGCTCCAGACTGGCCAGTGAGACCAGGGTGCAACACTTTAATAGAGGCAGAGATACCAGTGCACTGGGGAGTGAGGGAGCAGTGACCACAGAACAGTCACATTTAGGCAGGACTTGCAGAATGAACAGGTGTCTCCTGGCAGAGAAGAAAAGGAAGGGGATTCTGGACCGTGAGGATGGCATTTATGCAGCCCAAAGGCAGGCCTGGGTGTGGTTCTAGAGGACTTCATGCACAAGATGGTGGGGATGGGACCACCAGGCCAAGGGGAAGGATACTAACATTTGGGGGCTTGACCAAGGAAATGGCAATACGATCTGTATCGTGGGAATCACATATCTATTCTGTTCCTTTCCAAAGATGTTTCTATACCCTCTCTCAAGTTGGAGACTAATTATTAGATTCCCATCTGTGAGTGGCTCCTTCCATCCTACCTGCTGCCCCGCTAAGTCACATCCCAGCCCTGCACAGCCAGCTCTCTTTATTAAAAAAAAATTAAAGACAGGGTCTTGCTATGTTGTCCAGGCTGGCCTCAAACTCCTGAGCTCAAGCAATCCTCCCACCTCAGCCTCCCAAGCGGGTGGGACTACAGGCATGGGCCACCATGCCCATCTCCCAGCCTTCTTTAATGCTGGCACAGAAGCTAGGAATCCTGTGCCCCACGGGGAGAGTCCAGACAGCACCCCTCTCTCTCCCTGACCTCTACTGGTGCAGGAGAGACAAGCCTGGAGAGGAAGAGATGGGCCCGGGATCCAGACCCACTCCAGTCCTCTGGAACATGGGGTGAACGTGGCCTTGCCAAACTGATCCTCTCCCCCCAGAACAGATTTCCTTCAGCTCTGAAAATGGATAGTGCTGCAAAGACACATCCCACTTCTGCCCGCCGGCCTCCGCCACCGCTCGCCAGCGCTCAGGCTCCACTGTTAATCATGACAACACAGCGAAGGTGATGTGCATATTAAGAAGGCACTGCCTCATCCACCCAGAGAATTCCTGCTCCACTTTTAAGCTCTCCAGACACACGGGTGCACACAGCCTTCCTGCCCTGCCCCTTCACCCCCGACAGTTATAAAAAGTAATGATTCGTCATATCCAACTAGGAAGGGGGGCTGCAAAGCCTTGGAAACCACAAATCCAGAATGCCCCTAATTCAACCCCAATTGCCCACTGAGCAGAAGAGGGCTAAGAACGGAACAGCAAAGTCTGCCAAGTTTTTCCCTTTCAGTCTTGCAGCCCCCTGGAAAACTCGGTAGTTTTTCATGCCTTTTCCTCCCTGAGGAGCTTGGGGAATGGCCCAAGACCTCTTCCTCCTTCCTCTGTTAAGATGAAGCAACAGGATGGAGCAGGGGAAGAACCAGGACTCTGGGAGACACAGATGTGGGAGGTCGGGCCCACAGTCACACGGGCAGGTGCAACAATACCTGGCAAACTTGACGGAAAATGAGAAGCAGCTCTGTGGTGCTGCTGGAAAAGCCCCAGATTCATGGGGCTTGGAGCTCGGCCTATAGCTCCCTCTGAAACTGACTTATCTCCCTTGTAAAATGTGGTCACCCTACCTGCCTCACAGAGAACTGTCTAACTATCAGGAGTCAAGTACTTAGTTCAGCCCTTACCAAGGGTAGCTCTTAATACACCAAGCTGTGGCTCGGAATCTGCCCCGCCTCGTGGAATCCTTCAGGAACCTCCTTTCTTTGGCTCAGCCCTCCTTATTACCTCACACAGCCTTCCTTATTAGCCCACGGAGCTACCCCTCTTGCCTACAACACGTAAGCTGTCCTAATCTGAGCTGCTCTTGGGGTTGGAAGCATGCCCCTCAACAAGAGAAACTCCACCCAATGCTGGGTGCTCTTCAGCAAACTCCACCAGAGTCATCTGGCCCTAGAAGTAGTCCCCCATTTCTTTTGCCCCCAAAGCCCTTGACGGCCCAGAAGACAGGGGCCAGGTCTCTTCTGCTCACCACTGGACTCTTATATCCACGCTCTCTAACACTGCTGCATTTACAGGTGGGGACACTATGGTCCAGGAAGGGAAAGCTGCTTCCCAAAACAGACCGAAGTTCCTAAGCTCTTGGACCTTTTCTACAGCTCCAGAGTAAGTTCCTTGGGATTGGCTATTACAATTAATCTAGCGAATCGGAACTTAGCTAGATACGCATGTTGGACATAACTTTTTTGACCTTGGGCCAAGGAAAGGGCAAGACTTTGTCAAAGTATTCTTGAATAAAAGTGACCTGAGAGGGAAGAAGCTTCAAGAAGGGGAGAGGAGAAGGCTGCAGCCTATAGAACAATCCCCAGCAGACTGATGGAGGGGCAGAGGCCAGGTCTGAGAGCCAGCAGCTCTGGTGCTTGCCCTGTGGAACAACAGCTGGTCCAACAGTGGGGTGAGGGTAGCAGGGCTAGACCACAAAGAGCTCTGACTTCATTCTTCTAATGAAGGGGCACCACTGGTAGGAAGAGCACCTGACAGAGGAGAATGAGCCACATGCTCACCTTTGGTTAGCCTAGCCTAGGTCTGCCCTGTGGACGATGATTGTGTGGGGGCCAGAGGCTGCCCTACCTCCCAACCCTGGGAGCACAGCGGGGCTGGGCAGAAAGCCGTGGCTTATGAATGTATGCTGAAGGAAGGAATGACCAGATGTCAGCCTCTGGGAAGGAGCACTTGTCGGATTTCCCATCTGCCATTCATTCTGACCACACACCTTATGCTGGTACAAGTGTTCATCTCCCAGATGAACCAGGGAGAGCTGCTTCTGCTTTACAGGTGGGGAACGCAAACTCAAATGATACTCAGGTGAAATTCACCAGTGACAGAATGCAGGCGCACAGGTGAAGACCCAGCTCCCCAGGTCAGAGCTGGTCTCCATCAGACTCATGGTAGCAAGCCCGGGAGGAAAAGAATCAGAGGGTCCCAGACACACAACACCTGCCTCCCAGCCTCGACCTCCCCCGGCAGCTCCTGTGCGGTGGAGCAGGGCACTAGGAGTCAAGGTGGCAGGGGCTAAGGGAGGTAAATCAGGTGGACAAGATGAAGGGAAGTAACGTGTTAAAGGGCCAAACAGGGCCTGGTGCTTAGGTGTGTCAAATATGTTGGTCAAACTGAAGGGTTAAACACTAAAAAGCTAGCGGATCTCAAAAATACCCAGAACCTCTTCCACACATCAATGTCACTAAGGCTGTGCCATGCCCCTAAGACTCCCTCCTGGAAAGAGGAGAAACCCTGAGGCAGCTCTTGTTCTTGGGTAAACTGAAAGACCTGGGCCTCTAGAACAGTACAGTCCCAGACACGCCTACAACAACTCTAAAGTCTCGAGAGCCAACCCAGCACAGACACCAGGTGGGGCTTCATACACATCATCTCACGGCATTCTCGCAGCCGACCTAAGATGTCAAGGCCTATCATCGCCCCCAATTATCAGATGAAGCAACTGAGGTTCAGAGAGGTGAACTGACTTTCTCGAGGAAACCCATGTGCCCACCCAGGCTGTGTGACACCAGAGGCCACCAGGAAGCATGGATCACCTTCACAGAAGGTGAAGGAGGGATGGGACCCAGCACCTCCCTGTCCAAGACAGAAGGGACAGATGAGCTGACTGGCACGCTGGGAGCTCCAGGCTTAGCTGCTGGTCAACACGGATCCTGAAGCCCAGTCATCTTTCCACAGCAGTAATAATAAACCATTACTGACATGAATGTAGATTTCTGAGTTTCTTCTGAGACAGGGTCTTGCTCTGTTGCCCAGGCTGGAGTGCAGTGGTGTGATCGAGGCTCACTGCAGTATCAATCTCCAGGGCTCAAGCCATCCTCCCACCTCAGCCTCCAGAGCAGCTGGGACTACAAGCCTATGCAACAAAGTCTCGCTAATTTTTTAATTTTTCTTTTGTAGAGACAGGGTCTATGTTGCCCAGGCTGGTTTCAAACTGGCTGCAAGCGATCCTCCTGCCTCGGCCTCTCAAAGTGCTGGGATTTGCAGGTATGAGCCACCACGTGTGGCCTGAATATAGGTTTATATGTATAGTCAATCCTCACCACAGCTCCAAAAAGGACACGGTAGGATTTGCTGCGCGACTGTTCCTACAGCACAGCTGAGGAAACAGTGCCTGAAGAGGCTGGGTCACTGCCAGGATCACACTGCCAGCCAAGTGCAGGGCCATCGTGCTCCAAAGACCCTGTTCACAGCCACTCTGCGGCCTCCCTGACGGCCGAGCTGGGTGCCCTCCCAACCCCATGCCTGTGCTGCATACAGACCTGGCACTTCATGAAGGGTGTGCCCCTCTACCCCACCATGTCCCCAGTCTCTTTCCCACCATTTGGTCTTGAGCAAGAAACAAGAGACGGGGCTTTTCTTTCTTTTCTTTTTCTTTTTCTTTTTTTGAGATAGAGTCTTGCTTTGTCCTCTAGGCTGGCATGCAATGGTGTGATTTCAGCTCACTGCAACCTCTGCCTCCTGGGTTCAAGCGATTCTCTTGCCTCAGCCTCCCGAATAGATGGGATTCCAGTCGCATGCCACCATGCCTGGCTAATTTTTCTATTTTCAATACAGACGAGGTTTCACCATGTTGGTCAGGCTGGTCTCGAACTCCCGACCTCAGGTGATCTGCCCACCTTGACCTCCAAAGTGCTGGGATTATAGGCGTGAGCCACCATGCCTAGCCTGAGATGGGGCTTTTCTGAGAGAAAAGTTTACAGGATCACAGGTGGGCCTGGCCTAGGAGCTTCATGGATTCTAAGGCCCTCTTTGGGAGAGGAAGTGTTTCAGGGAGAGGTTGCCTGGGAGTTAACTTAGGCAGAAACAGGACATGAACCTGACCCCATACTGTGGTTCCCTGCACTTAGAACAGTGCCTCACACTGAGCTAGATGCTGGAATGGCCTCTGACCCCCAGGGCAGTGCCTGGGCCCAGAGCCCAGCCCAGACTCCCCTGAAGGGGAGGTTCCTCCCACTGTGGCATGAGCTTACTCAGGGGGTCTATCCTGATCCATGTCATGCCGAGGCGTGTTATTACAGGATTCTGCTGGAATTCTCTTCCTCAAACCTCTTCTGCTACAAGGGCTAAGGAATTTGACCTTTTTTTTAAAAAAAAAAAAAGGGAGAAAAACCTCAGTACAATTTGCTGAGAAGGTAGGTGGGGACAGGAGCAAGAGAGTCCACCCCTCAGTCAGCTATGAAGAGACAAAACAAAAATACTCTCCAGCCCCGCAGGGGTCTCCACTCCCATCCCCCTATGAAGGACAGAAGGACCTCGTGGGGGCAGAGGGAGCAGCCACGGTACAGTGCTGGGAGAACTGCCGACCTGCGGCAGAGCAGCTTCCAGGCACAGGGAAAAATCACTCCATTCTAAGAAAACGCAAAGTAAAAACTCAGGTCCAAAGGAGAAAGGATAAACCAGCCCAAGCTCTTAATAAGCATGAGGTGAACGCAGCTACTGACACCCATCCTTCCAGTATCAGATCCACAGAAGCCAGAGATTCGGGAGTCAGTTTACACCCCCAGTGAGGGCTTCGCCAGGAGCAGCAGCAAGAACAGAGCCCAGGCCTCCCAAGTCCAAGAGGCCAGAGACTCCTTCCCCCTTCCCTCCCTCAAAAGGTTGAAGAGAGGAGTGAGAGTCCCATCCTGCACTTGGGAGGCCAGGAGGACGTGGTGTGTAGCCCAGCTGGGCTCTGTAGCATGGGGCTGGCTCTGCGTTAGGGGGCAGTCAAGGCCCAAGCAGCTGTTGGGTGCTTTGTTACCGAGCAAATCTCCCAGGCGCTGCCTGCTGATGCATAGCTAACTGGGCGGCAGACATTGATTTATGTTCAACTTTCCATTTCATCAGTGAGAGTTACGGCGCTACATGTGGAGTTCACGTTTTTCAGAGGGGGAGGGAGAGGCGGCTCAAGTGTGCAGACACAAACATATCCACATGCGTGCACACAGGCATGCGTGCACACAGGCACGCACACAAGTCAGGGCCACAACTTTTTTTCCTATTTAAGAGGGAGGGCGACTGAGCTGAGCCAGCCGCCGCCGAGGCAGCCTGGCACGTCAGGAGTAACCTTTTGTCCACTGTTGCTAGGAGCCCCAGTGCCGGTCATCTGCCGCTGGGCAGACGTCAGGCACCAGGCTGGCTGCCGGGCAGGGAAGGGAGCACAGCCTGACCTTTGCAGGGGAGGTGTTGGCAAGCAAAAAAAGGCTTTCTTCCCTCTCCTCTGCCCCAGGCCTCTTTTCACTGGCCAGGAGATTGTGGAGGGCAGGACCAGCCCGGACCCATGTGCTTCCAAGTGGCCAGCACCCCCCACTGGACAGAGGAGCAAGCTAAGGCCAAGAGAGAGAAGGCTGGCTCCCCGAGGACACACAGGAATTTGGCAGCAGGGCTGGTATCCCAGAGTGTCCCACTCCCAGGATAGGGGGCTTCATCACAGTAACTAGAGGAGGGGCTGCCGCTCCCAGAGCCAAGTCAGTTTGGAACAGGTGGGGCCTAGGGGTGGGGAAGAGCAGTGGTTCCCCACCTCCAACTGTGGCCTGGAGCCCAGCAGTTGGGGCGCCCCACCTCCTCTCTAATCCTTCTCAGCAGGGGTGACCCTGCCTTCTGTCAGTCTGGAGGCGGACAGCAGGGCGGAGGAGCTGGAGGGGGTGGTGCTTCTGTCCCCTGGAGGAGTGAACACATCCACCCCTGACACAGCACCTCTGTCCTCTTCCCCAGTAGGAGGCTGCATCTATCAGACAGACTCCCCCCACCTGCAGGGAAGCAGAGAGGGCCAGGCGAGACCCAGAATGGGGAGGGGGTTTTATTTCCCCACAGACAGGCAGTTATCAAGAAGCTGCGGATCCCACCGCCCCACCCAGGCCTGTCTTCCTGAGCAACTGGCCAATTTGAGCCTCAGTTTCTCATCTATACAGTGGGAATGCTATTGGTTCTTAGGACTATCTCATAGAATCAAATGAAATCACAGCAGGGAACAGCTTTTCTGACTTGGAGAGTGCTTCCACCAGCAACTATTAACATAAGAGGGTGTCAGACAGTTCTACTCTCAGGCCTGAGAGCACTGGCTGGGGTGGGTGGGGAGGGCTAGGCTGGGCAGCCCCAGGTAAGGCGTCTGCTAAGACAGCAGGCACCAGCCTTGGCTTCTCACCGTCACACCTGCCTCCTGCCCCCAACCTATGTGGGCAGTAAGCTGGGCCTCCTTTAGGCTCCAACATCCACTAGAGGCCACCAGTCACAGGCAGGAAAGCTGCCCTCAGTCTCACCCAGCCGCCACTCCTGCTCGGGCCATGGCCACCTCCAGAGGGGACCGCAGCTGGACTCCACACTGGCCAGCCGGCCAAGGGCCCAGCCCCTCCAGGCCATGGAACCTCTTCCTGGGATCGCGTTGCTCCCCTTATTAGGAACCTTTCATGGCTCTCCCCAACTTTAAGTCCTTCCTGTGTCTATTCCTGGCTCCATCCCCACACCCCAGCCTGCAGTCCAGGCCCCTGCCACCCCAAACTTGCCCCATCACATCCTGGCACAGGCTCCCTCTCGCCTGGCACACTCCCCCACCTCAATTCACTGCCAATTGCCTCCTCCTCCTCAGCCCAAATGTCACCCCCTCGGAGAGGCTTCCCCAGACAAGCCATACTGGCTGTGCCCTGTGCCTGGCCCCAACGGTATTCTTCCTGTCAACCTCTCCAGCGTGGCACTCAGTCACTGCCTGCCCCCTCCACCAGACTATGAGCCCCTTGAGGGCAGGGTCCGTGGCTGCCTCTTGGGTGGCTGACAGGTCCCTGCCCTTACACACCACGTCTGACCGAGGGGCTAAGGGACGACCAAGCAAGCCCGTCCGGGTCTCACATGACGGGGACTCAGCTCCTTCCCTTGCCCTGCCTTCACTTCACCATCTGTCAGATGGGTGGGGACCCCAGCGCCCCGCCACCAAGCTTCCACTAGTAACAGGCTTCGGAAACCAAAAGCAAACAAGGTGGTTTAATTCTTCCCAAGTCTCCCCTTGTCACAAACTTGTCCTCGTCAGCAAAGAGAGGCCTTTCCTGCTGCAGCAGCTTTCTGGCAGGAGGAATGTCCGCTCCCTCTGCTGGCTCCTGCTTCCCGCTGGAGAGCAGGGCAGGAAATGGACAGCATTTGGCTCAGCTTTTGGGAACTGCCCCAGTTGCTGCCAGGGGTATGTTCTCATTTACTGGGCTTTGACCCTCCCTGTGAACACATCACCCACCCCACAGCTCACAGTGCCCAAGGCTCTCCACTGGGCATCCTGCCACTGCTTAGTTACCACCACTGTCAAACAGCTCACCACTTCATCATTAATTTGGCAGATGACAGAAATGTCTTCCATACAATGATTCAAATTGGCTTCCCTTTTCTCTCAAGGACTTGGAATGTGGGGCTGAGAGCTCACAGGGGCATGTCTGAGTACATGGCAGGTTCTCCGTAACAGAACTTCAGATACTTCAAGACAGCCATCAGAGCCCTCAGGAGGCTGCCCTTCTCCCAGAGAAACCCCAGCTACTTCTGCAGGAGATGGGGAAAGATTTTGGGTCATGCAAGTTTCTCTCCCCTCTTATTGTCTGGGTCATATCTCCGGCTTTTGGGCTACACACATTGTTTGCTCTTTCTCGTTCTCTCCCCATAACCAATGGGAAGAGTTCTCTAGGGACCTCAACATCTTTCTAAGGCTGGTGGGCCTGGCTGGCAGGAATGAGGACTCAACGGAAAGGGGATGTGTCAAATACTCCCTACTATCCTTCACCAAGGTGGAAAGTCCCTGCTATCCTTCACCAAGATGGCAAGTATCTAGATGTTCAAAGCAGGATGAGCTAAGCTTTTGGCAACAGGAGCTGGGACCCCTCCTCCAGGACTTTTCCAGAGAAGGCAGTCTTTAACCCTGTGACCTCTGCTGGGTCTCTGTCACGCAGCATCCATCATCAAGATGGTCAGCTACTTCCTGGCCGGGCGTGGTGGCTCAGGCCTGTAATCCCAGCCTGAGGAGGCTGAGGTGGGCGGATCACTTGAGGTCAGGAATTCGAGACCGGCCTGGCCAGCATGGTGAAACCCCATCTCTACTAAAAATACAAAAATTAGCCGGGCATGGTGGTGAGCGCCTGTAATCCCAGCTACTCAGGAGGCTTTGGCAGGAGAATCACTTGAACCCGGGAGGCGGAGGTTGCAGTGAGCCGAGATCGCCACTGCCCTCCAGCCTGGGTGACAGAGTGAGACTCTGTCTCAAAAAAAAAAAAAAAAAAAAAAAAAGGTGTCAGCTACTTTCTGAGCATTGGCCACAGTGCTCAAGTCCCCGTCTCCACGAAGCCACTGGAACAACTGCAGAGTAACTGTTGTGGAACACAGATCTGGCCAAGACATTATCCAGCCCAGAGTGCTGCCCTGGCTTCCCACTGCCCACTGGATCAAGCCCATACTCAACAAGGTCCTTCAACAATTGCCCGGCAACCTCTCCAGCCTCATCTCCCGCTGAGCACCTGTCAACCACCTCATTCTAGACACCATCTCAGCCAGGGCTGCACTGCCTCCAGGAATGCCCTCCTGATTTCTCAGCTTGGCAGACAGGCCTCTCCTGTGTCCTGCCACAGGGGATGGGTTACCTGTCAGTCTCTCTGCTAGGCTGGCTGCTCCTGTGGGCAGACTATGGTTGATTCAGTTCGAGCCTGGAACCAAGCCCCATGCCTTGCATATCAGAGACGGTCAATGACAGTCATAACCACAGTCCTTTCTCCTTCTGTGACTTCATCTCCCCATCTATAAATGAGAAGCTTGGACTACATCAGGGATGGCAAAGAGGATATGTACCACCACCGACACATTCACGTTCATGGTAGACATTGCCAGTCACTATCTGTTGAGCCTGGACACACAGCTTCAGAATCATTCTCACGGTGTTCTCAGCAGCCACCACACATCAAGCAGAGCTGGCATTTGAATGGGGACTTCTTTGCTACTTCTTTAGATAAGAGTTATGGTTTCTCTATCTCCTTTCGGTCTCTCCCTCCTTTTATCTAATTCTCTACTCTCCCTGCTTCCGCCATCCAATCAGATGTGCATCCACATTTGGACTTTGGAGTGTTTGTGGAAGAGCACCCCATGAGGAACCAGGAAAGCTGGGTTTAGACTCTGATTACAGCCCCTGGTTAACTTGGGGCAAGTCATTCACCTTTCTGAGTCTCACTTTCCCAATCTGCATGCCTTCTCTGCAGAAACACTGTGATGAAAATGAAAGTAAGTTGCATGTTTAAAAACACTATGTAACTGAAAACAACTATTGGAATTTAAAAACAAAACAAGAAGAAAAACAGCCTGTACCCAATGCTCAGTTCTCTATGACCCCTGCCCTCTTGTGAGTCCCGTTTTGGACTTAGAAATCCTTACTGGACAGTGCCCTCCTTAGGACCACCTTAGGGCCAAGGAACTTAGAAATTCTTACTGGACAGTGTCCCCCTTAAGGGGGAACTAGGGAACCCACCCAGATCAGTGAGGCTGGCCAAAGCCAAGCTGGGTTTGCCAGATGTGCAGCCCAACCGAGCTAAGCTGCGTGGAAAAAAAAAATGCCACTGCTTGATTATGTAAAATCCATCTGGATCCAAAGCAGAAAATCAAAGTTGGAAGGGCCCTCAGAGACCACCTGGTCCAGCCTGCTCCATCTACTGGTGAGAAAACTAGGGTCCAGAGATGGGGAGCAACTTGCCCAAGGTCACTCAGCAAGTATGCGGCCAAGTCCTCTCTGTCCTTCCCTGCTGCAAAACACCAGAACACCACTCCTGAACTCCCAAGCTGGCTTCCTGTTAGGCCCTCCCTGATCAGAATGTTGGATCTAGTGCTTTGGGGCTGCCTGGGCTCCTGTTCTGTAATGTGAGCAATACAAATAAACTCAGTTCAAACATTTACTAGGTCCTTAGTATATGCCAGGTGCTGGGGATGCCAATATTAGGGCTTTTTTTTTTTTTAAAGGTGAGGTGTGGTCAGGTCAGTTTCCAAGCCATCTCCCTGCCAGCCCTTAACTTGCTACCAGAGACATCTCATGCCACGGGACCAGACAGGTACTGCCCGCCTTGGAAACCTGGACGTGGAAGAAGAGAAAGCTGATGGCCAACCCTCATTGTGGGTGGCCAAAACTTCTGACCCCAGGAGCTGAAGCCTGGCAGTCAGAGGCCTGCAGAAGCAAGGCCCTGTGTTGCTTACCGAGGGGCTGGGATGGAGGTGGGCAGCTGCTCTCTCCCACCCAACCCTGGAGGCCTGGGGCTTCTACATTTAGGACCAGGCTAGGGGTGAAGTCCTGACCTGAAAACTGGGCTGGCCACCCTAGGCCAGGGTCTGGCCATAGCTGGCTCAGCCATCCCAAGCCGACTCCCTGGTGCAAAGCCTTTCTGCAGCAGAGCTTCCTACCCAGGCCTTGGCCAAGCAGGGGAAGGAGTGCAATTGTTGGTAACAGATAAAATCCTCGATACCATCTCTATTTCCCTTCTAATATCAGAGTGGCCGGCTGCAATACTAGTGAAGGGCAGGGCCAGCAATCAATAGCTAATATTCCTGTTGTAAGCAGGCCTACTCCGGAAATGGGCAGCCAGTACCTCCTTCCAGAGAGATACCCTTTCCCCTTGGCAGTGTCCCAGCCTGAGCGGTTCAGCATCATGGCCAGGAAGGATCAGGCCAGGTACCTGGCCTAGCCCATCCCCCTGCATCTGACTGATGGGGAAATGATGCCGGGAAGTGAGAGAAAGGAATCACCCAACGTCACCCAGGAAGCAGAGAGGCCAAGACATTGCTCTCTGCTGTCTACTGGATGACCACGTCAGCTCTTGATGGCTCGCCGTGCCTGGGAAAACAGAGGTGACCTCAAGTCAAGAAGGTCCAAAAGTTACCTCTGTTTGATGGTGGCTAGTAATGGCTAAATAAGGACAGGAATCAGTCTTGGCTTTCTGACCACACACCCCAAACGTCACAGGGGAGGGCCCAAGAAGTATGTCTGGAATTAGGCCTTAGCCATGGACGATTATACCAAAGCAGGAAGTTGGGAGCTGCCCACAGATCAGGCAGACCTGAGCCTTGTCCTAGACCCAGGCCAAAATAGAAGCCAATGGCCTATTTTTAAAACATACAACTAGGTATTGTCTACCTCTTTCTACCACAGTGGTCTAATCTGCACCGGACACCCAGATGCCGGCAAGCAGCCTCAATCAGGAGGCACACAGATGAAGCATGGTACCTCGGTGGGTCCACCAGACACGGAAGCCACATCTGCACTGTCTCAAGAACATCCATGGCATGTGAGCCTAGAAAGAATTCCC
Source organism: Homo sapiens (assembly GCF_000001405.40). Taxonomy (NCBI): domain Eukaryota; kingdom Metazoa; phylum Chordata; class Mammalia; order Primates; family Hominidae; genus Homo; species Homo sapiens. The sequence continues at coordinate 54,279,681 of NC_000001.11, forward strand.
AACTGGACAGAACGCCAGTGGGAAAGGCCCGCTGATGGGTGCAGGGCGCCATCTGCAGCAGCCAGGAAGATGCCTGCCTTGGTGAGGATGAACCTCTCACACGCTGGCCTCTTGGATTTCCTCCCTGGGAGAAGGACAGCAGCCCCTCTGGCTACTGCCTTTCTTGGGTCCATGAGTTTCCAGTATTTTAAGGTCTAACTCTCAACCCATCTTTAATATGTCTGCAGCCTTGCCCCAAGCTGAGACCCTAGCAATGCCTGGTCCAGTCCAACCTGGAGCTCACACACCTATTTCTGGGGCTACACTCATCTCCACCCCTTGGACAAGGCTCCAGTTTTGGCAGTGTTCTGGGAATGCATACAGATCCACATGTGGCCATCCAATGCCCCGGATGGCCATCCTGCATCCCTCTCTCTCCTCCCACCACCATCATGTGACCTACCACTTCTGTTTTTGGGGAACACCTGAATTTCACTGCCGTCCTTCTTAGCTGGTGAGCAGCATGTCCCAGCCCTCTTCTCTCAGGAGTTAACACCAACCGAAATACAAAATCTTGCCAACTAGAATCATCTTCCAGATCATCTCTCACCTAGAGGGAAACCCCTTTAACATCCCTAGGAGACGTTTGTCAGGTCTTTGCTTAGACATCTCTAGGGCCAGAGAGCCCCCTGCCTTGATGTGGTGTGAGCACAGGTGCTAAATTCTGGCCTATACCAAGCAAAAGTGTCCTTGGACTTTGCCTCACTGGTCCTAGTTCTGAATTCTAGGGCTGTACAGAGGAAATTTCTGCCTCCTTTTCCACACAACAGCTCTTTCCATGTTCTTATCTGGGAGTGCCAATCTTTCAAAAGGTGTGGAGAACTCGGGCGGATTCTCAAACTCAGCTGCCGACAGGCTTGAAAGAACGAGAGATGTTATGATCGAGAGTGTCATCATAAAAGTTCCTTACAGCCCTGCACGCTGTACCTCTCTAAGATGGCATTCCCCAGTCTCAAGTTGGCTTAAATCACATGAACCGCCGAGGAGAAGGTAGAGACAGAGGAGGCGGCGCAGAGAGGGTGGCAGCCGCGCCCAACCTGGCAAAACAGAAAGCCCAATTTCACACACCCCAGAAAAAGCCAAACAAGGTGTCTCTTGGAGAAGGCCAGACTCTCGACCCACGTGGGATCTGTTCCTGCCTGTGGCGGGCAGAGCACGGGCACAGATGCTTGTGGGATGCTGTCTGTGATCACACTCGGAAAAAATCAAGTGGTTAACCAGAGGGAAAGGATTCTGAGACCTGCCAGGATGGTGGGTTTTTGTGTTTTTTTAAGATTACGCCTAAGGTTTGTCATTTGGACAAGTAAAGTAAACAATGACAAAAGCAGCAGCAACAAAACAGAAACAAAGAACAATTTACTGATTTTTTTTAAAGCCTTTTGTTAAAAGAAAGCTCCACAGTGGCCTGGAAGTAGCCCCCACCACCTCCCTGGCCAGGGGCAGACTGTGTCGCGCCTACGAAGCTGGCATGAAGAAAGCAAACTCCAGCAGAAGTGCAGGCAATGCAGGAGGTTTCTGCTTTCCCATCTTTTTCTCCCTCTCAGCTTTTAGAAGGACTGTTGAAAGGGATGGGAAGGGAAGGATTTGAACCAGCATAAAGCAACTGTATTTAGACCATGGCAAACTGAGCTACTTACTTCTCTCCCGCCCTCCCACCTGCCCAGGGCCTCGGCCTGGAATACAAGGTGGAGCACAAGACCCACGGGCCCCGCACGTACCTGAAAGAAACCTGGCGGGATGGGGCCTCCCGGCATCCCATCGTTGGGGGGAATGTTGCCAAGCACGGGGCTCGGGGCAGCTGCTGCACTCTGTGGAGACAACAAGGCAGAGAGTTAGTGGCCAAACCCACAACCAGAGACACAGAGTTCTGACCCCTGGACTTGGCTCTCCCTGTCCGTCCACATTCCCCGTGGACCTTCCTCACAGGCCACTTTCTACTTAAAGCCCTCCTAGCGTCCCAGGGAAGTGTCATGTTCCCACTGACAGGACACAAGTAGGGCTTATACACTCAGACCTGGACTCAATTCCCAGGTCCGGCCCCCACTGAGCAAGCAACGAATTCCGAGGCTCTTTTTCCTCATCTCTAAAATGGGAGGGCCGGATGTGGTGGCTCACAACTAAAATCCCAGCACTTTGGGAGGTTGAGGCTGGAGAATCGCTTGAGCCCAGGAGTTCGAGACCGGCGCGGGCAACATAGGGAGACCCCGTCCCTACAAAAAATAAAAAATTAGCTGGGTGCAGTGGCATACGCCTGTAGTTCCACTTACTCGGGAGGTTGAGGTCAGAGGATCGCTTGAGCCCAAAAGGTTCAGCCCTATCTCAAATAATAATAATAATAATAATAATAATAATAAAAAAATGGGGGGACAATGTCCACCATTCAGGGAGGTTGCAAGGACAGCCTGAGACAAAGTGCCAAAGGTACTTCCTGCGGTGCAGAGCAGGGGTGCATGGCCAATGTGCTGCTCCTGGCATTATATGGCCCTGGGCCGTGTCTGCCCAGCTACTCTGAGAAGCTCTTGGCAGGCCAGTGATTTATAAATTTCTGTGCCCTCTGCAAGTGGCTGGCATGTCATATAGAGCAAAAGATCAATAAATATCCATGACTCAACGAATAAATGAACAGACCAACTGGGAAACACTGCTGGAGAGGGTGACGGAGGGCAGAGCGTGTTCTTGGCCCTGCAGGGTCCTAGGTGTCTCATGAGAGAGAGGGGCCTCGCGAAGTGGGGGGACCGTCATTCCTTTTCTCTTTAAACACTGCTGTTCTGGCATTTGCCTGGTATATCTGCCTCAACAAATGCCTCCCAGGGGTGAGCAGACATTGCTCTCCCCAGCCTGGCCTCCTTCCAAAGGATCTGTGTGCAACCTATTCAGGTGGTCGGCGCGTCTGTGCCTGGCCCCGTGCTCACACAGGCGGGGCGGGGCGAGGCTGAGACATCTGGGCCCCAGCCCTGAGGAAGCCACAGGTCTGACAGTCCTACCTGGAACCGGGCCCTGCTCCTTCCCACTGATTCTAGGCCTTCAGGGGCTCCTTCTACAGGAAGCCCACCTCCAACCTTGGTGGTCCCCAAACCCCACCATGACTGAGAAAGTGAAACTTGGTCATCAATCATCTCCCAGGGTTCTGATTCTCTGAAAGAGGAATGAGCCCCTTGGGGTCAGGAAACAGAACGCCTTTTTTCCTCTTAGAAACACAGCCTCCCATCACCACCTTCAAGAAGTCACTCTCTTTCCTTTCATTGGCAGTAAAATAGGAACCAGAGGCTGGGCGTGGTGGCTCACTCCTGTAACCCCGACACTTTGGGAGGCCAAGGTGGGCGGATCACCTGAGGTCAGGAGTTTGAGACCAGCCTGGCCAAAATGGCAAAACCCCATCTCAACTAAAAATACAAAAATTAGCTGGATGTGGTGGTGGGCGCCTGCAATCCCAGCTACTCGGGAGGCTGAGGCAGGAGAATTCACTTGAACTCAGGAGGCAGAGGTTGCAGTGAGCCAAGATTGCACCACTGCACTCCAGCCTGGATGACAAAAGCAAAACTCCCCATCTCATAAAAAAAAAAAAAAAAAAAGGAACCAGAATCTCTAACTTCCAACTTTGATGAAAGGAAATGAGGTAATGTGCAAATCTCACTAATATACTGCATGCAACAAAATAAACGAACAGACCTGGGAACAAATGCACCTGGTTTTCAGCACTGTCACCTCTACTACTAAGTGGGATGACTGTGGGCAAGCCACTCGGACTTTCTGAATTTGCTTCCTGTAAAAAATGAGATAGCTGTTGTCCCACGTCCTCACCAGGGTTGTGGGGGATAAAGTGACAGAATGGGCTGTGTTTTGTAAGCTGGGACAGCTCTGTGAATCTAGCAACAAAGAAATACAGGGAATACAGTGGGTGTTGAGCAGACCCCAGATGAAGAGAATGGGCAAGCCGCACGTTACTTTTCAAAATGATTCTGCCTACAGAAAAACAGCCCTCTCTGCAAGAGCTATCCTGCTAACCATCCTGTAATGTGTACAAGTTTCAAGCATCTCCAAAAATTAGGATTGTAGATCTCCCCATCCCCCAGGTCTGAGGTCACAGGCCCCTGCCTTGCCCCTGCCCGGCACTATCTGAGATGGGGCCTCGTGAGGGAATCGCCAGCTTATCCATTAGCTGCATTACTGCTGGCTGCATTACTGTTTTTCTGTGGTCAGTGGTTCTGTGAAAATGGCAATTTTGTGATTAACAGCCAACAATTACTCCTCAGCAGCAAGAGCAAAAAACTTTTTTTAAAAATGGGGTAAGGTAAACATCCATCTACATTTTTCTTCAGGTTCTTTCAGAGACTGGTGTTACATTTAACAATTTCATTCTTCTTATGTACCATTATTTAACCACTTTTTTTTTTTTTTTTTTTTTTTTTTAAGACACAGGGTCTTACTATGTTGCCCAGGCTGGCTTCATGTGATCCTCCCACCTCAGCTTCCCAAAGTGCTGGAATTACAGGCATGAGCCACCACCCCCCGCCTATTAACCAACGAAATAACAGGCATTAAATCTCAGTGTCTGCTAATGTGGCAGTTAGTATCCCTTTGGTATTCGGTATTCTGAGTTACCTCTTAGGTCATTACCTTTTGAAATGGTTTGCATTGGCCACTTGTAGATCTAATTTTATGGCAAATCATTCATGTCCTTTGCTATTTGGGTATTTGATTTTTTATATATTGAGGATCTAGACTAAGGGTAAGTTATAATTTAAAAAAAAAATTAAAATTATTATTATTATAATTAGAGACCTAGTCCCCAGGCTGGAGTGCAGTGGCCCGATCATTGCTTACTATGGCCCCAAACTCCTAGGCTCAAGGGATCCTCCTGCCTCAGCTTCTCAGGTAGCTGGGAATACATGTGCACACCACCATACCCAGCTAATTTTTAAAATTTTTTGTAGAGATTAGGTCTCACTATGTTGCCCAGGCTGGTCTTGAACTCCTGCCCTCAAGCAATCCTGCCACCTCAGCCCCCAAAAGTGCTAGCATTACAGGTGTGAACCATCGTGTCTGGCCTAAAAAAAAAATTAAATGAAAACTTGAACCTACAAGTACTTTGTCGCCTTATTTATGAGGCTCTTCACTCTAAGATGTTTTCCTATGAGATCAGGAGTGAGTCAATGGTTCTAGGAACTGAAGGTAGTGGATGGTCCACAGTTCTTTGAATGCAACGGCCAGGGTCACCATGGTTCTAGTAAATGCACGGTGTAATTCTCTGAAATGTGGGGTGGAAGATGGAGTTTTGCTGTTCTCCAATGAAGGAGGACAAAAAACCAAGACCATGTTAGCATTGACTAAGGGGCAGGAAGCTGAGGAGACGCCTTTATCATTTAAAGCTTCTCAAGCAGCAAAACTAAGTCGTCCTGCAGTGCTTAAATTTGTGCCTTGAATTTTGATAGTTATTGCTGTTCTTCTTTGATTATGAAGCAAACATGTGCTCATAACAAAAAACTTTAAAAAGGGCAGAAAAGTGTGAAGAAGAAAACGAAAAGCAGCAACCAGTGGTATAGGGCAACAAAAGAGTTAAGAGGTTGGGAAAGGCTCAGAAATAACTTGCTCACAAAATCTAAACCAAGGTACCCTCCCCCCAACCACATCTATGAACATTACGCTGAATCCCTGCACCAACCCTCCTGCAGCTCAACGGCAGCAGGGGCTGTTTCTCCTGTCTCTGAGACCCAGCACAACGTGAGGCATACAGCAGGTGTATTAGCAGGATCTAGAATACGGGTAAGTTATACTTTTTAAAAAAAAAACTTTAAAATTATTATTATTATAATTAGAGACCTGGTCCCCAGGCTGGAATGCAGTGGCCCAATCATGATTACTACGTGTATAATTCAGAGACCTGCTCAAAGCTGACCGTCCAGAGCCAGGCCTTTCCAGACTGCTAGGAATCGGCCTCCCTCTGTGGTTTCCAACTTTGAGCTGGAGCTCCATTAAGGCGCTCAGCAAAGCGTCTCATGAGTTTTCCCTAACAACACAAAACCAAAACCCCTGAAAACCCCCATTATTCACTGAGGCCTACAGCATGCCAGGGCTGCAGTGGGTGCATGGGCTAGAAGTCCCCCACGGAAGAAGAGAGAAAAGAACACTGGATTCAGAAGCTAGAGATCTCCTAGCTGGGAGCCCACGGACAGGCCCCTTTCTCGTTCTGGGACTCAGTTTCCCCATGTGTCCAATGATGGTGTTAGAGGAGATGACCACTAAGGCTCTTCTTCCAAGCTGCTCTCCCCAGCTAAGTCTACACACCAAGGGGAGCTAGGTCTGGAAACAGCAGCTCTTCCATGAACAGGACAGCAACCCTCTTTCCAGGGCACCTGGGTTTTAACTCTTCTCTGTTCATTATAGGCCATTTTGTGATCAAAGATTAAACACTACCGAGAGACCTGTTATCTGAGCCCACAGATAACAGTGGGTGACATTGGGTTCTAACCGCCCAGGCCTTCCTTCCTCACCAATGCTTATCCACTTTTTGGACTCAAGAAAGCCAACTCAAACCACCCATGCAGTTTGGTAACATGCACTTTAAAAAACAACAACAAAAACAACAAATAAAGCTAATTTAAAATTCTTTTCTAAACAGCAAACAGGCCTTAAACAGGGTGATGAGGCCCATTCCAGCCAGGTGCCTCCTCTAAACCTACAGTCAACTTGAAAAGCCCGAAGTGCTTTCCCAGAGCACTGCCTGAAGTTTGCCGTTCACAGCCAGGGAGACTTGTGAAGAGGACTGATCCCACAGCTCCATCTCTAAAGAGCAGGGTTTCTTGATGATCCCAGGATGGGTACACAGCCATGGGGCTCAGGGACTACCCCTGCCTCTGCCCTATCCATGCTCCAACGGGACAGACACATGCCACTGCAACCAGAGATCCTCAGCAATCCCACTCCGTAAGGACACCTGAAAACCTCACCACCAGTCCCACCCTAGGAGATGGATATTCCCCCTCTAACCTCCAGGGTGGAGAAGCAGGGTTCAAACAGGGGGCCTCAGAGCGGTGCTTCCAAGAGAAAGCGCCTTGGAAGCCAGGCTAAGGAATGGAACTTTCTGCTCTGGGCAATGGCGGAGCGGGGGGACATCTACTGCCCCACCTCACCCTGTGCCGGGCATAGGGACCTTTCATGCTCACTCAACAAATCCCAATACCACCAGAGTACCCCAAATTCCAGGAGCAAGTGGACTTGACGAGTCCCCACATTCCCAGAGGCCTCTCATCCCACCCTGAGAGAGAAGCATCTCAGAGTAGGCAACAGTGTTGATGCTTTTCCTTCAAGAAGCAATGGTCCAGGGGCATTCCCTGCAAGATACTATCTTCTGGCCTCATTTCAAGAACCCCAGCTATCCTCACTCACAAACTAGCCTGAGACCCCCGCTCCAACCCTCTCTTTAAAATTAGTTCTAGGCACAGGAAGCTCCTGGAAAACTGAATAAAAACAAATGCTCAGAGGGAAATGTGGGACTCCTGCCAGGTCGGCCAACCCCTCCTGACTGATTTACAAGGCTGCAAAATGGTACTTTGTTCTGCAAATCCCCTCCCCTCCTTGCCCCGCCCTAATACTCAGGCCTTGGCGTGCAGCAGCTTGGGGGCCACATGCAGAACCGCATGTGCAGACGACTTCCTTGACTGAAACTCAACACAGGCTGCGTGGCCCAGGGCCCAAAACACCAGGGGGTGGGAGGTGTGTGCTGAGGGTGGAGCCATGTGCTCAAAGCTGGGAAATGGAGGTCACTCAAGGGAGCTTGGGGCACTCCTGTGATGACTACATACAGAGGGCAAGTGAGACAGGAAGCCTCCAAGTGACGCCTGTCTGGTGGCCTGGGGAAGGAGGGAGGGAGGGATGCTGGCACTGGTTTCAGCAAGACAGGGGCTTCTGTGCAAACTATGGAGTAACCCGGGTCCCTCTGGGGCCAGGTTTCCCAGAGGGAATTTCAGCAGCAACAACAAACTAAAGATATAAATCAGGAATGGAAGCGACCGGGGGAATGTCATCACCCAGATGGAAAGGCCAAGACAGACAGAACTGGGGTTCAAAGAAGGGAAGGGGACAGGAAGAGGATTCCTGGTTTCATATGCAGACCACAGAACAGAATCAGTTTTGGAGAACAGGGGCTCTAATTGTGCAGTTTAGAGAAAACAGAGCTGTTGCTACGTGAAGAGGCAGAACCAGCTGACGTTAAAAATAGGTTTGGATGACACACAGGAGTGACACAAGATCCCTGCCTTCAAATAGTCAGGGGGCCATCGTGTGGGAGGAGGGATGGATGTGTCTCCCGGCACCAATGGACGGCCCTGGGTCCAACAGTAGATGCCCCAAGCTACAAAAAGCTTCTTGGCTGCCTCAGAAGGGGGCGGGCTGTGATAATTTGGGGTCGCTCCCAGCGGAGACATGGCACAAACCATATTAAAAAAGGATTGCCATAGGACCCACCACCGCCTGGGCCTGGGGATTATTAAGACAAAAGAGTCCTGCACTGAGGGTCCCAGGATCAGGATTCCAGCTCTGGCGGCAAACCACCTACTGTGTGATCTGATCAGGCCTTCCTGCCCCGGGCCCTGGACTCCACACAAGGCAGCTGATGTCCTGCTGCTCCAGTGACACTGTGGATGTCCAAGGAGCTCTTCAGCAAGCGACCTGAAAAGGGCCACGTATAGACAACAAAAGCCTCAACCTGTCAGGGCCAGGCCATCAGACCCAAATGAGGGTGGTCTTGATACCTGAGCTTATTTTACTAAGTCCCAGCTCATGTCTGCCACCTGGGTATGACCCTGGAATGCAAGAGGGGCTGGAGAAGTGCCTGCCTTTTCATTTTGATCCCATACATCAGCAGGGGTGGGGGGGGGGAGGGTAGTATTTATTCCCCAACATCGCTGGGAAGATGTCATTTCTGTTTTCCTGGTAAGGAAACTGAGGCACAGAGAGCTGTACTATCTCAAGGTCAGGCAGCTAAGTGGCTCTAACATTAGTCCCTCTGTGCCTCCACCTTTTATCTTGGGTTCAAAAAACAAAACCACAGTCCACTCTGGGAGGCCAAGGTGGGCGGATCACAAGGTCAGGAGATCGAGACCATCCTGGCTAACACGTGAAACCAAGTCTCTACTAAAAATACCAAAAAAAATCAGCTGGGTGTGGTGGCGGGTGCCTGTAGTGCCAGCTACTCAGGAGGCTGAGGCAGGAGACTCGCGTGAACCCGGGAGGTGGAGCTTGCAGTGAGCCGAGATCGTGCCACTGCACTCCAGCCTGGGCGACAGAGCTAGACTCTGTCTCCAAAAAAAAAAAAAAAACAAAAAAACAAAAAAAAAAAACAGTAATGTCCCACTCACCCCTGTAGTTCCCAGGAAGAGTTCTGTGTGCTTTGACTCTTATGAAAAGAAATAGCCGGCACTTCATTAAACACATGAGAGAAGCACAATCCATTCCCGTGTTTGAGACTGTCTATATGTTTTTGTGCTTCCCCAAGTAGGCTGACCTTCTAGCTCTGCTCTTTCTGACAAATACTTCAATGAGTTGGCATTCACCAAGGGGTGTGTATGTGTGTGTCTGCACACACATGTGTGTCAAGGAATGCAAGATCCCACTGAAGAGTCTGTTGGATCTAACTGGCAAATTACCCTGAGAGGAGGAGAAACAAGGTGGGGGGTGGGGTGGGGGGCTGTAAAAAGGTTCCTAGTGCTTTTTACACATCAGATGCATCAGCAAACACTCGCTTCTGGGGCCACCCAGACTGCGCTGTGCTCACCAGAGCAGATGACAGGTTGCAGGTCTGCCCTGCAGGTCAGGAGGATGCAAGGAGTTGTGGTGACAGAGAACTGAGGGACAGGCAAGGTGCTCTGGGCAGGCGCTGTGAGCGGGGATTAGGGGGATCAGGGAGGCTTTGTGGAAGAGATGGTACTTGAGCTGGGGCCTTAAAGGACGGCAGGACTCGAGGATGCAGGAGGTGATACAGGGGTGAGAGATTATGCTGTCATTTTAACCCTCCCTGGGCACAGGGCCTCCTGACAGCCTTTCCTTAGAGAGCAAATCCCTCTAGGACGCCACCCGCCCCCTGCACCATCTCCAGGGTAGGGGGTGGGTGTGGGGCTTGTTCGCTTTCCCTCCCCCAGGATAGGGGGGCTCCCCCACAGGCGAGGAGCCAGCCACCTAGTCAGAGAAGGCTCACTGTCCCCAGGCGGTCCCTTGTGACCCAGCTCATGGTGTGGCTCATCCAGTCTCTCTCCCTCCATCCTTCCAACAATCCACAGTCACTACCAGAACTCAGAGGCTCTGAGGAGTAAAGGCACTTGTCCAAGGTCACATGGCTGGAAATGGGCAGAACCAGAAGTCAAGCCCAGATCTGCTAAAACCACAGCCCCAGCTCTTGGCCACACCTCAGCTTCTCTGATACAAATTTCAGAATCGACACTTAAAAGTGGTCACCTGGAAACAGGTCAGGGCCCAGTCCTTCCATTCACCAGGGGCCAAGTCCTCAGGCACCTCACTTTACCTTCTGCACCCCTCATCATTTGCTAAGGAAGGGAGCCCCCTACCCTCTGTGGGGGGCATAGGGAACTTAAACATGACCCTTAGGTAAGGTGCCCAGCCAGACTCAGCCAAGGTACGGGTTCAGCAACCGGCGGCCCAGAGCCAGAGACACAGCTCCAGGTAAAGGACCACGTGCTGACGTCCTAAGATTCCCTGACCACAGCAGGCTGGGGATGGGGAGACAAAAAGGGGCTGAAAGCTGTGGAAAGACTTGGTCTTCTGAGAAGGGGCCTCTCTCTTCTTAGTGGCCACCTTAGGAGGAAGTGAATTCCCTGGGCTGGGAAGTCTGAGGCCACCATACTGCCGGGCCCTGCCCATTCATCCCAGGAAGCACCCGGCTTCTTCTGGGGACTGGATCAAAGGTCACTGTTTGGTAAGAGGTGGAGCCCCATGTATTTAATAATTAGTACCTGGTGAGGGAGTGGATCCCAGCCAGTGCACCCTCCTCCACAGGCAGATACCTCCCATCTGGGCCCCATGGCACAGGACGCAGGTCCCAGGCATGTGCATGCAAGACAAGGAAGATTAAGGGCTAGAGGATCCCCCCTAGATGAACACTGCAGAGTGGATCAACAGCTCGGTATTTGTACAACGTTGATTTTCTTCTTAAAGAGAAATGAGCTTCAGGCCCTAGTTTACACCATTAGCAAAACACACACACACGCACACACACACATTTCCCACTGTCTTAAAGGAGCTACTTACAACCACAAACATGTCATAGTAGGCCAGTGACAGCTCCTTAACAAGAACACTGGCAGTTGCTTCTGCAAAGTGGAAAATTCCCTGGCGTGGACCCGCGCACACGCTCAGTTCCAATGACAACTTAATCCTGCCAGGACCGAGGTGTGCAGAGAACAGAAAACCACCCGCTTCTAGAAACTTTTTTTTTTTAAGTTTAAAATAAATCATTAAAGGCAGGGCCCTCAGAACATCTTTCAAGGATGGGAGCCCACACTCTCCTCAGTGAGCATCAAATTTAGTGGGGACCAAGTCACTTTCCCTCACCTCCTCTGCTGTGACAGGACAAAATGTACACAGTCTGACAAGTTCACCCGGGTCCCCCAATGCCAGGGAAGGGGCGCATAATTCAAACCCAACACTGCCTCTTCTGTGTAAATGAACAGTCGGGAGCCCTTGAGCTCCTTGGCCAGGAGGGAAGGCAGTGAGCAGTGGACCACCGTGGTCTGCACAGCCACCCCAGCGCACAGTTGCCACACGGGTTCGGCGCTGAGCAGATGCCGTCTAAGCCTTTAAAGCATGCACTAATTGCGCTAATTTAGCTAACAGTCTCTGTTTCGTCCCCCACTCTGAGTCAACCAGCGTCCTTTGGTACTGCTGGAGAGATGCAAGCTGTTGGCTTTAGTGTTATTTTGTCAGCCATTAAACGATTCATCAGAGTCATTAATTGATTTATTACTGCTGCCTGCTCAGAGGGTTTAGCAAATAAAGAATGATGTAGGTCACAAAGCAAAGGAAATTGGACCCAACAACACTACGAAGCGCTGGGCACTTATTCGAGTGTCTGCTGCTGTCCATTCAGGCAGCCCTCCACGCCCAGCTGTCAGGCAAGGAATAGCATAGATGGTTCTCCTGCCTGAAATCCAGGTGCGAGCCCGCATCCTGCTCAGGCACCAGTGCTGCCAATGGGGAACCTTGTCTGGAGCCCCTGGAAGGCTGCTCTCGGGCACCTGCTAGATACAGCTGAGAAGGAAGGGAGAGAGGCCCACACTGACCCCCTTACCCACTAGGTGGGTGCTGAGTAGCAATGGCTGGGCCTGCAGCTGGGCCCTCCAGTGCTCTAGGAAGCCAAGGACAGACCCTTCAGCCAAGACTCTACTCCCCTGGAGGTGACAAGCTCCAGCTAGGCCCTCCCTCTTTCTCCCCTGCACTGCCTAAGGGAGTGGGAGGAATGCAACAGTTGGTGCATGCCAGGAAATGGCAGTCCTGGGATTCAAACCCAGGTCTACCTGACTTCAACATCCACAATTAATTCCCCTCTACCGAATTCTTCAGACTGACACAAGAGAGGACTATAGCTTGGCCTTAACGAAAACCCTGACAGAAACTAGCTAGGTAACCAAAAGCAAGGCAACCCCTTCCCTTCTCAGAGCCCCAGATGCCTCATGTACAAATGACAGGGTGGGTGAGCCCCCAAGCTACAGGAAGGGATGAGAGTCCAGGCCATGTCCTCTACGGCCCCAGCTGCCCTGGCCACTGTGAAGCCTCATGTCAGTTCCCCCAAGAACACTCCTGTGTTGTGAGCGAGGCCCTGCACAAGCCCTCTGAGGACCCCTGCTGCCCTTCAAACCCCAGACTCCAGGGCGCAGGTCCAGGAAGGTTTGTCGCACTCAGACCAGACAGCGGTGACCCTCATCCCACCCCAATCCCAGCCCTCAGGGCTCTGAACAAACGAGAGGGAGTGGTGCCAAAGCAAGGGAATGCTAATGCCTCCAACAGGAGAATTCACCAGGACATGAATTCCGTGTGTGTGTATGTACATGTGTCTGTCTCTGGGGCAGGAAGGGTAATATCTCTGGTACCTGATACCCCTAGGAACCAAAAACAGCCATTCTAGATAACTCAGATTCTGGCATCACAGTTATCAGCCCCTCCACGAGGCATCACATCCCTACCCTGCCAAGTGGCCTTCTAGAACAGAGCCTGGCATGCTTTCAGAGGAGACTCTTGGAGGATGGTGACTGGATGGTTTGCTCCAAAAGTAATACAGAGGGGATGAAGAGATGGTTCAGGTACCCACCAAGAACCAACCTGCTTCTGACCAAGACACAGCCCCAGCCTGCGACCCCAGTCTGTGGCCTGCTAAAGTCTGGTGGGAGCCACAAAGCTAAAGGGCAAGGCGGGGCTGCCACTTCGGAGCTCACTACAGATTATTTGTTGGGCATCTACCAGGTGCACACAGCAGGGCTTTCTTGTTTGCACCCACCAAGAAGAGGGCCAGAGCACCCAAGAACACACACATCGCTTAGGATCCCGGTGAGAGATCTGCTAAGGGGGTGGGGCCTGGGAGGATCGGAGGCACGCGGGCTGGTCAGAGGCTTCTGAAGGGACATGGGAGTTCATCCACTGAGAATTCTGACCCAAACTCAGCTTCTGAAACAAACACGGGACTTCTCATAGAGGTGGTCCATCCCCTACTCATGCCACCCATCGATATGGTATTGAAAACACAAAGGAAGGTCTTTACAAAACATTTATTGGGGTCCCATTCAGAGAAGAATAACCTATTATTACTTACACATATTTAGTACCTAGTACCAGCTTACAAAGGCCTTTCTTTCACACATATTTCCTTGATGAATACAGCAACCACCCTCTGCACAGGCAGGTTCCTCTCTCTGCAACACTCTTCTCCTCTCTACTCAGGCCTGGGTGATACCCTTTCGTCATTTATGTGTTTCTCAGCACAGTGTTTGTCACACCTGACTGTTAATTCCTTATTAAATTAGCCAGCTATCTTCCAGGGATGGGAGCAGGAATGGTGTGCACAGCACAGGGAAGATGCTGGCTCAGTAAATATTTTTTGGATAAATAAAATTCTTGCAGAAATCCTGCTTTTCGGCCAGGCATGGTGGCTCTCGCCTGTAATCCCAGCACTCTGGGAGGCTGAGGCGGGTGGATTACCTGAGGTCAGGAGTTTGAGACCACCCTGACCAACATGGTGAAACCCCATCTCTACTAAAAATACAAAAAAAATTAGCCAGGCGTGGTGGTGGGCGCCTGTAATCCCAGCTACTCGGGAGGCTGAAGTGGGAGAATCCCTTGAACCCAGGAGGCGGAGGTTGCAGCAGTGAGCCGAGATCACGCCACTGCACTCCAGCTGGGGTGACAGAGTGAGACTCCATCTCAAAAAAAAAAAAAAAAAAAAGAAAGAAAGAAAGAAAGAAAGAAAGAAAGAAAAGAAAAAAGAAATCCTGCTTTTCAAGAGTAGTCACCAAATCTAAAAGGTCAAACTCTAAGACTAGCTATCTCCATCACCTTCCATTAACTTACCATTTGGCTACATCCTAACAACTCGCCCCTCCCCTCCAAATAACAACAAACAAAACACACACCCTGCCACAAACTGTTCCTTCTGCCCGTAAAGCCCTCACAAACGACTTGGGCAGGCCACATCTCCCAGATCCATTGGTCATTAAAAATGGAAATCACCCTTGTATCACCCCCTCCCAAGACAATGGGAAAGACAACTTCAGCTAGTGTCTGGGGAAAGCATTTGTAGCTCCAAGGAAGGACAAAAGCAATGAGAGGGAGTGGGGTGGCCTCACAGAGCTGGGGCCCTGTTCTCATTCCCACAGTGGAAGAAGACAAGACCAGCCCAGTGAGCTGGGTGCAGGAAGGGGTTCAAGTGGCCTCTGTGGGTTACTGAGACCTAGTGGCCTCTCCCAGTCCTCTCGGCCAGCCTCCCTTCCATCTCCAAGATGAAGCCTGCTATTTCTTCTCAGACAGGTTGGATTCCCTGGCCTCTCTGAAGACGAGTGTCTGCTCCACTGGCCCAGGGAGCCACTTTCCCATAGGCTTTGGCTGCCCACCACTTGTGGGGCCCAAGGACAGCAGAGGAAAAAGGGGCTTGGACAAAAGCTGAGAACAGCAGGGTGTAGGGTACCACCCTGCGATACCTTCCTCCACTTCCCTGAAAATGCATCCCACAAGCAGAGGCTCCTCCACCAAACTAGGGACTGTCCCTTACAGCTAGACCCTCCAAGCCACAGATTTATAGCAGACATGGTTTTTGCAATCAGAGACAAACCACAGAGCAAGCCCTGAGCTCATGCGGGAGGAATCCATCACCCCCAGCCTCCCCTCCCCGTCCCTTCCTCAGTCCCTCACTTGACATGAAATGAAACTTGAGAGGGGCAGAGAGAAGGGGAGAGCAGAGAGACCAGGATCCCTGCAGCTCACTAGGGCCCCCCGGCCGCATCCCTACTCTGCCCCACCCCTGTGCTGATCACGTCCTGGGAATGGCTCCAGCCCCTAACAGATCAAGTCTCAGGTCCCTCACCACTCCCTCCATCCCGGTCCATGTATCTACCTAGAGAACTCCCAGTTATCCATCAATGCCCAGCTCAAATGCCCCCTGCTTCCTAGTCCAAGTGGGTACTAAAGTCCCAAGTAGGTTCATGAGCTGGAACTCAATACTAGAAGTTACCAGTTTCCACCCGTGTCCCTTTCATGAGGCATCCCACGGAGCATGCAATACCAATGGCCTCCTAACCAAGCCGACACAGCACTGGATTTAGGGCAGGAGCTCCAGCTCTTGGGCTCCCTGACCAATTCAGAGAGGCAGGCAATTCACCTCTGACTTGAGCTGCACCCTGTAATATAGGACAATCTCTGGGTTGACAAGAGATTTTAAAAAAACAAGGAGATAATGAAAGGGCTGTGATCTCATCTCAGCCTTTCTTCTCTGCCTCCCATTCCAACCTCCCCCTTTTCTCGTACTCTAAGCTTCAGCCACAGGGGACACTAGCTGGTCCCCAGCCTTTGCACATGCCCTTCTCCCCTCCATCTGGAATGCCCACCTCCCTGCTAGTTTCTGCCATTCTAACATATCCCTTAGGCTACCCTGGACACAAGGCAGGATGATTTATTCACCCTCCAATCCTATATGAGACTCTACCTTGACTCTTCCAGCATTTTTCTACCTGGTCTTATTATATAGACAAAGGTTATCTCCCTGCAGGACTGTTGGTTCCAAAAAAGTGGAATCCAAATATTTGTAATGCCTACTATCAATAAACATCAAATGATTGGAGACTGCAAAGGAGCTTTCTGGACAAAGCTAGGCCTGGTTCTTCTGGGACATTTCTCCCTTCTTCCTTATTTGTCTGCTTTATAAAGATGTAACTTTAAGGAACAGACCAGATTTTGGTAAGCCCAAATGTCAAAAGGTGCAAAAAGCAGCCTTAACTCCCAAAGGTTTTCATGTCTCTCTTCTCCTCAAACAACTGTTGGAAGAGACAAACATGAAAACCTCTGGAGAGATCTGAATGTGAATGCTGGTTCCGTTCCTAGCCTGAAACTTGCAAGTCAGAGATAGCAGGACCATTCTTGACAAGGTCCCTACTTTGCTGCAAATCTGGCCTAAGGCAGTCTGTTTTTCTTCTATTTTTGTCTAACTCCATTTAAGGCCATTGCCATGGTCCTCTCTGGCCAAGACAGGAATTATTAATTTAAATTTGGGCCTTCGGTAACTTTGAATCTACAACATAGTACAGGAAGGAGTCCCACAGCCAGGCTGGACAGATGTGGCCTCCGGTCCATACACCAGCGTCAAGGGTGGCAAAGGTCTGGAATCCGGTTTTCCCAAGATGTCTGTGCCTTGGCTGTGTCATCTAGAAAACGAGGACAATAAGCACTGCCTGCCTCACACGACTTGTGAGGGTCAAGTTTCTGCTGCATCCCCTGGAACAGTGCCTGGCACGCATCCATCAGGTGCTCCAGAAATACTTGCCAAATGGGTATTCATTCTAAACCCTCTCTACCTGTTTTCCCCAAGGGTGGCCTGTCCCCTGGGGACCAGCTGGGTATCACTCTCCGGCAGACCAGACTCCCAGAGCCTTGCCATCCCTGCCCCCAAAGCCTCCTGGCTCTCTGTCCCAGGAACAATAATAAGCCCCCACATCCTAAGACTCTATGTAGGCACCAAAGGAGGCTGATCTCACTTAATCCTCCCAACAATCTCCTGAGGTGAGTGAATCCACTCATTTATTTTATATCCGACCTATCTTGCTGGTGACACGAACAGTTAAGTGTCTTGCACAAGGTCACAGTTAATGGATGCTGGGATTTTCTTCCTGGCTGGATCCAGACATCACAAACTCACATACCACCCACCACCACCTCCAGTGGGAACCAGAAGGAAGATTTAAGTAATGGAAGGGAAAGACCTTAACCCTGAATCAGGTCCTTTGGGTCTGGTACCAATTTGGGACAGGAGTCCAACCTGAATTTGCCTATCTGTAAAAAGAGAAGTCACCATTCCCTGCCTGGCCTACCTCACAACAGTGGCATGAAGCACAAATGAAGAAACAGACATAAAAACTGTCTCAAGGCTGGGTGTGGTGGCTCACGCCTGTAATCCCGGCACTTTGGGAGGCCAAGGCGGGCGGATCACTTGAGGTCAGGAATTCGAGACCAGCCTGGCCAACATGGTGAAACCCCCCTCTCTACTAAAAATACAAAAATTAGCCGGGCGTGGTGGTGCCTGCCTGTAATCTCAGCTCCTTGGGAAGCTGAGGCAGGAGAATCGCTTGAACTTGGGAGGCAGAGGTTGCAGTGAGCCGAGATCATGCCACTGCACTCCAGCCTGGGAGACAGAGTGAGACTTTGTCTCAAAAAACAAACAAAAAACTGTCTGAGAACAGAAGGGCAACGCCACCATCCCCATCACCCTGGATAATCAAAGGAGCTGGGAACAAAGATGCCACACAAGAGCACTGGGTGAGGAGTCAGGCTTGGCTGGCTGCCCCCAGAAGGCCCTTCCCTGTACCCATAAAACAAAGGGAATGGATTCACTTCCTGGTTTCCAAGCCTGGTTGCACATCAAAATCATGTAGTGAGCTTTGCAACAACTAAGCTGCCTGTCTTCCTGAGGGGGCAGGGATCCAGCTTCTGGGAGCTCCTGGACCAGATGTTCCATCAGATCCCTCCTCAGTTCTGTCTCTACCCTGACCCCAGCAGGGGAAACAGATCCCAGGTTCTGGGGATGGCTGGGCCAGATGCGCAGGCCTCTTCTGCCCCCTCATGCTCCCCAACCAGTCTCCTAGGAGGCCTGCAGGAAGCCTCCGGGTGCAGGTCAGGGCTTCAACAGCTGCCCAAACAGGTATGGGCCCAGATTTAATTGGCCTCTTGGTTAAGCTTTCTAATCTCATTAAAGCTGCCTCCATCAAGCAGACCGAGGCTCTGAATTGAATCACAGAAGAGCGCTGCCCTGCCCCACTGTAAGCTGATTAGGTCTGGGGAGGCCTAGCTCGGACCCCTCTCTGCACTACCATGCCGTACGGTCACACGGAAGGCACGAACCCAGACTCACGAAGAGGGGCACACTGACGAGGGGGCAGCAGGAAGGAAGTTCAGCGAAGCAGTCCCAGCAAGGGTGTGGTACCAGACCTGCCTACTCCCACCACTCTGGGGAGCCAGTGCTGTCCCCAGGATTTTCAGTAAATACAAACCACAGAGTAATCTGATTTCCTATCTTATCAGTGTGCAGTGCCAGAGGCCACCCGGCTCCAGGAGAAAGCTGCCCTTCTAGGCAGAGCGTGGGACTCACAATTACCTCTCCAACTTCTTTTCGTAGCTTTAGAGCTCTACTTCATTCAGATGGAAAGGAGGCAGCAGAGGGGTGTGGTGTGGGGCCCAAACACCTGCTTTCCATCTCTAGAAGAGAGGACTTGTCTTGCCACTCACTCTCTCCCTGACCCCTTCCACCTCCACAAGGAGCTACACTGCGGCTCTTCTCCGATCCAGCTCCTGGACGTCAGCTTCAAAAACACCATGGTCAGCGTGTGCAAACAGCCCTGAGCAAATACGCGTCGCCCACTTCTCCATCATCTCGCTTTATCTAAATATATCCCAAGGAAATAACTTGGCAGTGGTGAGAAATTCTGCAGAGGCTCCAAAGTAACAAAAACAAAACACACACACACACACACACACACACACACGAGCTCTGTTCAAGGTGCCACGCTGAGCTGAGGATAGGCATGGAGATACAAACACTCACAAGGAACAGCCACCCAGGGTGTGCTGGGGGTTCAGTCCCACTGAGGGTTCGTGCTTGGTTGTTATTAATATTTAATAGGGAAGACAATATTTTAGAAGAGACAGGACTCTGTGCAGGTTGCAGGCCAGGCTAGCATAGATGCCCTGTCCAAGGGAGATGTTAAGGGGGCACGCCTAGCCAAGTACACACACACACCCATCCCACACCCTCTGGGACTTGCTGCAAGACACTGGTATTTTCCGCTCCACTTGCCAAGAATGGAGCCACCCTGCCCTGCATGCTTGATCCTCAAACTCCTGGAAACAAAGGCGGCAGTCACGGGGGCGTGCTAGCACACCTCAGGCACTGGTCCGATGTTCCCCTACCCTCTGCCATTTTCACTAAAGGGGAAACTAAGGCCCAAAGCAGAAGACAGACATGCCCAGAACCTGGCCAGGGTCCCTCTTACTCCACCACGCTGTCGATAATTTGGATAGAGGTGGCTTTTTTTTTTTTTAATGCATTACACACATCTAGGCTATTCACAATCACCCCCAAGCCCACCCTTGTGGGCACAGGGAAACAAATTATTAGGAAAATGAGAGTCAAAGGGGCTATGGGCAATCCCCCAAATCATGCCAGCTCTCAGCAGGCCGGCCCACTTTCTCAGGTTCCACACAACCACCCCAGTGTCTGCCTTCTCCATCTGCCATCTAGACACGGACATGAGGCCTGGACCACTACATCAGGCCCCTCATTAGTTTATTAGCCTTAATCTACTTCTTTCTCCAAACAGATCAAACCCAGATCGCTCACACGGCAGGCTCACAACCTGAGGATTTTCTGCTCCTTGCCACACACCAGCTCAGCCGAGGCCTTCAGGACCTGGCCTGAACCAACCCTCATTCCCAGCTCCACCGACATAATTCCTCCTTCCCTGAACACTGCATGTCTTTTTAAGCTTCTATGCATTTGTACAGACTTCCCAGACACTGGAATGCTCCTATCACAGTCTTCCTTCTCAGTCACCAATACCAGAACTCAATAATCAGTGACACCATCCAATCCTAGCTATTTAAAGACAAGAAAATGGAAGGCCGAGAGAGGGTAAGGGAGCGCCACAGAAGATAAGGTTAGCAGTGCTGGACTCGTGGCTGGCCAGAGTCTTCATTGACTCCAAAAGCCCTCAAAGACCCTCTCCAACTCAACAGCCCTACAGCAAGATCAAACCCAGGAGAGGGCCACTGAGGACCAAATATCCAAGAAAGAGGGCCCTTAGGGAGTTCTAGAGGCAGCACAGGAAGAGCTGGCCTGGGGTCTCAGGAGGCCAGCAGAAACGAGATGCATGCTTGGGCCTGGAAGCCCAGAGAGTGGAGAGTATCATCATGTCAGTTCAGCTCAGGGGCCCAGAGCAGGTGCTCGGGGAGGATGTGCAGAACGACCAAGAATGGTACCTGGCACACGGAGACACTCGGTCAACATTTGCTGTTGCACACATTAATGACACAAATGGCCAATGACAAACCAGTGCAACACAGAGTACCGCACAGGCCTGTACTCAGCTCCAGGATCCCAAAGAAAGGAAGGATTATTTCTGCCGGAGGGTGGGGCTTCACAGAGCGGTGACATCTGATCAGACACCATCTGTTATTTTTCTCTAATTGTTCCACATGTGTGAAATTTTGATTCTCAAGCTAGAACATAGACTCTGAGAGGGCCAAGACCATAGCTGCTTTCTCTGCCTTCACCTACTCTGTCTCCAAAATGTCCATTCCATGGATGGGCTCTCAGTGGATACTGAAAGAACTCCAAAAAGAGCAATGGACCCCATTTTTTTTATTTCAGAGAGAAGGGCAAAGCAAAAAGTTGTTTTCCCACAAATCTGCGTTACCTTGAAGAAGTTCCCTGAACCCCATCAGGAAATCCACTGATATCCACGGGCATTTCCAACATCCCAAATGCTCTGTGCCCCTGGTGTGGCATTTAAGAGATGGACACTCTTAGGATCTCCTGAATGCTTCCCACATCTGACAGGTGGCACTGGGTCTCCTAGACAGCTTATCTATTTCCCCCTTCAACAACCCTGCAGGACAGGAATCAACATCCCCACTTGCTTGGGAAAACTGGGGCTCAGAGAGGTCACTCGGCAAGGTTAGGAGAAGACCTGCATCTCATCTTTTACCACATCACAATGCCCATAATATTAATTCTCTGCCAACAGTTTTCCGCAACAGAAGCCTCACCTGGACCATTTGGCAGGAAGGAATTAATGCCCATTCAGAATCTCATCAACAATAAAGCGGTGTTGAAGACCAGCAGCAGCAGCACGCCAACTTTGGTTCAACAGCACAAGCTAACCTAAGGGGCACACTGTACCAGGTGGTGCTCACTCATCCGGACTGTGCTGTACCCTGAGTTTCTGCAGACTGTGCCCCACTTTTGTGAGGTCTCAACACCCCCTACCCATGCCCAGCCACATCCCTGTTTCCATAGAGGCCCAGAAGAATGCAAACTCCAATTACTCCCTTTCTTGTTTGGATAATGGCCACTTCACAACTCTCCCTCCCACGCGGGGACCCTCGCGGCTCCTAAGGCACATAACCCTGAAGAGGCGCTCAGGCCAGGGAGAGAAGAACAAATGGGAAGGGGGATGAAAAACACACACAACAGTAAGCTCCAACCCAAACAGAACTAATCCATTCAGAGCCAAGCGAGGCTGAGCAGATGGGAAGCCAGGCATCCCCCACCCACCTGTCCGGCCGCCACCACCACCCTAGGTTCCGGGGCCTTCACCACAGTGCTACAATTACAAAGGGTGACCCAGCCACATGCTCCCGGGGCCACCCCTGCTCCCAGGCACCCACAGGCTCTGCCTTCATCTGGTTTGGGTTTAGAATCCTACCCAAGCCTCCCCCAAATTATGTGTGCAAAGGCAAGAGGAACACAAACACCCCAGCCCTATGGCACCAATCCCTGGGAAAGAGGAAGACGGAGGCACGAACTATGCAATCCTCTCTGGATTCTCCTACAGCTCCAGAGGGCGGCTGGGTGGGGGTGGGGGGGTACCCCCATTCTTTCCAGCCTGGTGCCTGCCACTCCCACTCATACCATCGTCCCATGTGCGCAAGGACACCTTCATTCTGTGTCTGTTTGTGTGTCTTCCCCTCCAGCCTGTAAGCAGGAGGACAGGAACAGGACAACCTCTCTTCCTCACTGTAGCACCTACCCCCTGCCCCCGGTGCTTAGTTAGTGCAGGCAAGGCTGTGCAAAATGTATTCTAATACCTGCTCAATGAATGTAGCTCACGACTCTGAGCATAATTTTTTTTTTTTTTTTCCTGAGAAGGAGTTTTACTCTGTCACCCAGGCTGGAATGCAGTGGCGTGATTACTGCAACTTCCATCTCCCGGTTCAAGTGATTCTCCTGCCTCAGCCTCCCAAGTAGCTAGGATTACAGGCATGCACCACCACACCTGGCTAATTTTGTATTTTTTAGTAGAGATGGGGTTTCATCATGTTGGCCAGGTTGGTCTCGTCTTAGCATAATGTTGATGTGTTTATTCCTTTAATATTTGTTTCTTTCTCTAGCTTTTAAGCACCCTAAGGGCAGAAATACCACCTGTCTTATCCATCATTGCCTCCCCAGTAACTGACACTTAGTGGGCGCTCAATAAACATTTGTTGAGCAAAGGAATAACAACTCACCACTTCGAGAACACTGACGTGATATCAACCAGTGGAGGAATCTCCACCACATTAGAGGATGTTAAGGCTGCATGGGGGCTCAGAAACCACCTGCTCATTTATGACAGGAGGGAGTATGACTTGTTTGCAGCTGCAGACCAAGTCAGTGCGGTCAATGCAGGACTCGAACCCAGGCCCTGATGCCAGGCTCCTGACACCCAGCCATGCCCTGGCAGTGCTAGGCCCTACTGGGGGAGACAAAAGACACAAAAGATGGTGCCTGCTGCTTAGGAGAAGCAGGTGATCTAGCGGGGCAGACGAGACAGACACGTGAAACAATTAGTGAACAAGATAACTGCCAGGCTAGCGGTATTATATCCTGATATAATAAAGTACACGCTGTACAACACAATTAGAGACAAGAGCGAGGCACACCGCGCTAATTACACAGCACAAAGGGTGAGCTCACGGGAGCCATGGGGTGCTGGTGCTGCCACAGAAAGCTCTGGAGGCCAAGAGAGCAGAGATGAGCTTGGGGTGGGGGCGCCTCTGCCATGCAGCCTCTCCTGACTACCTCTCCCTCCTCCTTGGTGCTCCTGCTACCAGTCCCTGTGCTAGATGATCCCTTTTGACACTTCTGATGCCTCGCTGCCCTTGTTCGGGCAGTTTGTTATCAACCCCGCCTAGACAGTCAGCCCAGGGGGCAGGGGGCAGGCCCTGGCACCAAGCCAGCCTCTGGCTCATTACTTCAATGTAAACAATCACCCGCATTTCCCCTCACTATGCACTGGGTTCCATGCTGAGCCCTTCCTTGCACTCATCCCGTTCAATCCTGACGACAACTCTATGAGGTGCACATAAGCTCGGAGGGGGAAGTCACCCACCCAAGGCCACAATGCCCATAAACAGCAGTCAAGAAACTGCATTAAACAGGTCCACCATGCTACAAATCTCGTGCTCTTAAATCTTTACACTCACACGGTCCTGCATGGAAGCCCTAGCCACAAGCAGCTACCAAGTACTTGAAATGTGGGCGGTTCAGAGACGCACCATAAGCATAAAATACGTACCAGACTGCAAAGGCAGTTTGGGGGAAAAAAATATAAAAGATGTCATTAATGATTTTTACACTGATGACATCTTACAGTGCTATTTTGAATATATTTGGTCATAATTAAAGTATATTACTGTAACTAATTTCGCCTATTTCTTTTTACTTTGTTATGTGGCTACAAGGAGCTCTGAAATAACCTGCAAGGCCCTCAGTACATTTCTACCAGACAGCGCTGCTCCACACAGCACTGCCTCCACGTGTTTGCAGAACGAATGATGGGTAGCACGGAGACAGAGGACAGGAGACCGGAGAAGGTGGCCCTTGTCAAGTTTCAGACAAGGGGAAACTTGAACCAAGATGTGGCAAAGGGGGTACTCCTGAGCCTGTGCAGGACAAGGGAGCCATGACGAGTTCTGAACACAACTGGGGAGCACTTGGGTCGGGCATGTTGGAACCAAACGACACAGGATGAGGACAGCAGGGCAGCCTTCGACCTAGAGTCTTTGGCAATGTGAACAGGCGGCGAGGCTGTTTACCATGCTGAAAAGGGAGCTGGGAATGATGCCTCCATGAGACAACAGTGGCCTGGAACCAGTCACCTAGTGTCCTTCCAGAACATGACAACAATGCCTCAATTTCCTGAATTAAAGAGCTCTTGGGGGGATGGGGGTGGGGAGGGGGGCTCTCCTCCAAGGACCAGGGCGTCTTCTGGGCACAGGGCTAGCTGCACGCAGCAGGAGTGAAGGGGCTCCCCAGGGAAGAGAAGCCAGGTGAGGCTGAGTAGGGAGTTGCAGGTGATGGTGGGAAAAGGACACAGCAGGCTGGAGTGTGGAAGAACAGATAACTCTGGCAGAAGGTCCAGTTCCTGCAAAGGCTGCATGGGGAGCAGGTGGTAAAAGGACAGCCACAGGCAGAGGAGGAACAAAGCACAGTCCAGCGGGGTCACTGGAGCCAGACCCCAGAATGTTTTGCTAGACAAGGAACACTGCTGGTGCAAGGCTGAGGGTTGAGTTTGTGGATGCTGTCAGAGAACAGACAGGTGCCTCACCAGTGGAAACAACCCAGGGCCTTGTAAAAAGCCTCTCAGCTGTCCTCTGCTGAGATGAGTTGGCCTACGCAGGGTAGCTGCTGAGAAGGCAATCACAGATAAACAGAGAAACACATTCTCAGAGCCTGGAAGACCACCACCACCACCCCCACCGACACCATGAGGAAGCGAGGATGCGTGGGACCCGGAGCGGCTCTTAGTGGAGCATGTGCACTCCACCAGCATGGCTGAGGCTGTCCTCCACGCCAGCTGAGATTTACCATAACCAGAGAAAGGCCGAGCAGAGACCATGTATGCCTGGCGGGAGGCGTGGCGTGGGAGGCCAGGCCAGGGGTAACTAACTTCAGCTTTGCCATCGCTAGCTGAGCAACTCTGGGCTCTTTCTTAACTAAGTAAGATGGAAACCACCACCCTTTACTGCCCAGGGCCTATGACGAGGAATAAAGACATTCAGTAGCTGTGAGTTTCTCAGCACAGACCCAGGCCCTGCCCTTCCCAATATCACTGGTCCTCCAAATGCCTCCTTTCCCTTTTCACAGCACCTGCCTAGCACACCGGCCAGCACATGGTAGGGTTTCGATAAATAGCACCATTTTCTATGATGAGACATCACAGCTGAGGAAATACCAACTTAGATCCATCTATGGCTGGAGTTGGAGTTTAGGAGAGCAGAAAGTTCACCTAACTGAGCAATCACAGAGCCAGGGAACATTTTCAAAATGGAAGAAAGTTTCAGGCTCCAGGCCACTGGCTTCCTTTGCCAGACTGGGCAATTGGGAGCTATGGAGAAGCCAGGGAACTTGAGTTTGGATGCCATCATTTAGTTATTTTTCTTTAAAAAAAAAAAAAAAGAGAGAGAGAGAGAGACGAGGTCTCATTATGTTGCCCAGGCTGGTACTTCTGAGCTCATGTGATCCTCCCACCTTGGCCTCCCAAAGTGCTAGGATTACAGGAGTGAGCCACTGCGTCCGGCTGAGTTTGGATTTATTATAAAAGACACGCCATAGGTGGAAAGAAACTCTCGCTTGGATTTGGGGCTCAAAGATGGTCACTATTATCTTGCTTTCTATCTAGCAGCCGTCTCTCCCTGCTGTCAGTTTCACCCCAAGCCCAGTCACTCTTATCTGCAAGCTGTTTCCTATGATGTTGTCTTCTACCATGATACCCTTCCCCAGTCCTCATTTGTAAAAGTACTACTAACTTTGAGGGTCCAGGGGAAACACCACATTCCTCGGTAGCCCTTCCCAGACTTCCCCCAGCTGAAGGTTCTCCCTCTCCCATCCTATCCCCAACTCCTTGCACACTTCTAGCCAGACTGGCAGCTCCTGGGTTCATTTCTTATTCCTCCTCCTGGACTGTAAGCACCCCTACTATCCCCTATCCCCCAGGATCCAGTCTTGCCGGCAGCACAGCACAGAACGCACTGGGTCCCTCCCAAGGAGTGAGTGGATATTACACACTTGCTAAGTGAAAGAATGAGAGGAATATGATAACGCACAGCTTGGTGTGATAAGCCCCAGGCTGGTGTCAGCCGTGTGTCAAAAAACACATCCATTGGAGAACAGGGGACAGCTACAAGTCCAAACAGGAGTACAGTTTCAGTCCAGGACACCAGGCTCATTACTGGCAAAGACTGGGTTATCTGAAACCAGACTGTGCAACAGAAGTAAAAAGCCCGGCCACACTGCAGCCTCACCTGAGGCCATCTTCAACTCTTACCTCGGTCATCCCTTGGCTGAGTGGGAAAGCCACTAGCTGGGTACACCAGGGCCAGGACCCTGCATTTCTTAGGAGCTGCCACTGGTATTATCATTAGAAAGAAGATAATAATACTAAACATTTTTTGGTATTTCTGTGTGCTGAGCGCTTCGTGTGATTGCCTCTCTTAATCTACCTTTATACCAACCCCAAGATATAAATATAAAAACCACCTCACAGGCCAGGCCTAGTGGCACACACGTATAATTCCAGGAGTTCGAAACGAACCTGGGCAACATAGCGAGACCTGATCTCCACAATAAAAAAATTTTTTTAAATAAAAAAGCACTTCACAGAGCAGGAAACTGAGGCTAGACTGCCCAGGATCACCTGAGGTAGTGGACAGAGGTGGCATGCGCCTAACACGAGGCTCTTTTTACTACAACTTTCCACCAGGACCCTCCAACTACTGCTTACCTTGACTTTCAACCTTGAGATTCTAAAGGCCAAACTATGAAGACTCAAGCAGCATTCCAGCTGTTCCCTGCCCACAGCCTCCAGGAGGAAGGCCAGGCCTCAACACATCACCAAGGCCCTACTACCTGGGCACCCTAAAATCCCATTACTCAGTCAGACTGTGCTCCCTCTACTTCTTCTGCCTTCCGGCCCTAGAGCCCAGGGCCCAGGGCCTCCTCTAAAGGAACCAGCTGCCCCCAGTTATGGCCACACCCCCACTATGGTCACGCCCCCACTATGGTCCCATCATCTTACACTATGGTCCTCCAGCAAACACCCGCTCTACTCTCTACTCCCAAAACAGCTCCAGGTCACCTTCTCTATCAACCTTTACATCCACTCCCAGGCACCCCCTGATCCAGGGAGAACCAACCTCTCCCTGTCTCCCCTAGCCCGGGCCAGGACTTAATGCTGGTCTGGGCCCAGCACAGAATCTACACTCCCTTACTATGCTGTGTTTAACACTTCCTCTGGCTCTACTAGACTTGGGCTCCTTGAGGGCAGGGACCTTGTCTTAATTGATCTTCATATCCGTCAGGGGTGTGTGAACCAGAGCAACTCCATCTTGAAAAGGAGCTGGGTAAGATGAGGCTGAAACCTACTGAGCTGCATTCTAAGTCACAGGATGAGACAGGAGGTCAGCACAAAATACAGGTCATAAAGACTTTGCTGATAAAATAGGTTGCAGTAAAGAAGCCGGCCAAAACCTACCAAAACCAAGATGGCGACAAGAGTGACCTCTGGTCGTCCTCACTGCTACACTCCCACCTGCGCCGTGACAGTTTACAAATGCAATGGCAACGTCAGCAAGTTACCCTATATGGTCTAAAAAGGGGAGGCATGAATAACCCACCCCTTATTTAGCAGATGATCAAGAAATAACCATAAAAATGAGCAATCAGCAGCCCTCGGGGCTGCTCTGTCTATAGAGTAACCATTCTTTTATTCCTTTACTTTCTTAATAAACTTGCTTTTACTTTGTACTGTGAACTCGCCCTGAATTCTTTCTTGTGCGAGATCCAAGAACCCTCTCTTGGGGTCTGGATTGGGACCCCTTTCCTGTAACATCCCTAGTGCTTATAGAATCCATTAAGTCATGTTTTAAAGCACAACTTCCCCTGAAACAACCTCCAAACCCCTTACCAGAGATGCTCTTCAATAATTAAAATAACAAAGAAGAGGCCGGGTGCTGACATCTGTAGTTCCAGCACTTTGGGAGGCAGAGGCAGGCAGATCACTTGAGGTCAGCTGGAGTTTGAGACCAGCCTGGCCAACATGGTGAAATCCCGTCTCTACTAAAAATACAAAAATTAGCCGGGCGTGGCCGGGCACGGTGGCTCATGCCTGTAATCCCAGCACTTTGGGAGGCCAAGGTGGGTGGATCATGAGGTCAGGAGATCGAGACCATCCTGGCTAACATGGTGAAACCCCGTCTCTACTAAAAATACAAAAAATTAGCCAGGCGCGGTGGCGGGTACCTGTAATCTCAGCTACTTAGGAGGCTGAGGCAGGAGAATGGCGTGAACCCGGGAGGCGGAGCTTGCAGTGAGCCAAGATTGCGCCACTGCACTCCAGCCTGGCCGACAGAGCGAGACTCCATCTCAAAAAAAAAAAAAAAAAATTAGCCGGGCGTGGTGGCGCACACCTGTAATCCCTGTCACACAGGAGGCTGAGGCAGGAGAATCACTCGAACCCAGAAGGCAGAGGCTGCAGTAAGCCAAGACTGCACCACTGCACTTCAGCCTGGGTGACAGAGCGAGACTCAGTCTCAAAAAAAAAGAAGAAGAAGAAGAAGAATAGGATAAGCCATTGATCACCAAGGAAAGCAGAGATTTTTCCAAGGTTAGCTCTGAAAACTAGGACTCTTTAAGAATACCTGAGCTTCAAGTCAGTGACCCCACCTCCCCTGCAAAAAAAAAAATACCTAAGAAAAAGGCAATCTCTGCAGAAAAATCTCACTGATTTAGAATAATCAGGGACAAGAGACAAAAAGATGGTCTACCTTAACACTGCAACAAAATCATAATGCTCATCTGATGAACTGGGGCATATGTGCATACAGCTTTAGAGACTCAATGGGGTCATCTGTCACTGGTGCATCCCATGCGGACAAGCAAACGGAACACACCAATTTCAGGCAGTTTAAGATTATCAAGCAGGTTTTGTAACCTTCCCACATCTTATTAACACCACTCATTTGCTTGACAAACCTGCCCTCTGGTCTTGGACTGAAGGACTGAGGCATGAGCCCTGCCCTGAGGCCAGTTATAAATTTCAAACTGAGCCACCCCCAAAAAACACACAAGTTTTCCAAGTAGCCTAATGAGAGCTGATGATACTGAGTCGGGCCAGCCCAAGTTGACATTGGCGAGTGAAGTTTTTAGTCAAGCTGCAGTAACAGGATAACCAAGACAACATCGGCATCCCTTCTCTGCGCAGCAAAGGGAAATGAAGCTGGTTCTCAAACAGCCAGCCTTGCTTTGGACTGATATCTAGGGAAACATTCCCCTTAGGATTCAAGGCAGACTGCACCGTGAGAAATCATTTGTCCTTTGCACACAGTCAATGAGCTTAGACAACGCCAGGCAGTCAGAAAGTTGGCTTCTGTGCCACTCACTTGTTCCTGACACCACTTGGTAACTCAAAGACCCTGGAGTTTGGTCCTGAAAAATCCCTAACTCCCCGGTTGCCCTGTACTCAGAAATAACCAAAAGCTTTAGCTGCTGCCAAAAAAGGGAAAAGAAAGAAAACCCCAGGAACACACCAAATCCATGTCCAACTCCTTTGCCCCTTGGAACAAAACCCATTGCAGGCACACACAAAGCGGGGGAAGGCAGGACAAAGAAGAGGCCAGGTCACACTCGACAAGGCGCTTTCTTGTCGTTTCCAAAACAGAACTGTCCTCTATTAAAATGCTCTTGTTGCTCGGATGTTGGTGCGGGAAGGGGTGGGGGGAGCACAAATCTCAAAACAAAAGGCGAGACACAGCATGTAGGGAAGCCCGGGCAGGCTCCTTCTCCCTGCACACTTCCAAGCCTTTGAATACCCGCAGATCTCGGTCCAGAGCTGGCAGCTGTCTGTTATTATCCCAGCAACTCCAAGGGCCCCAGCACCAGGGAGCATGTCCCGAGCAGGTGAACACCATCTGCCCGGCTGACAAGATGCCCGTCTTAGTGCCTGCTGCTGCCAGCAGGCCGTGTGGACCTCGGGGAGGCGCAGCCAACCTCAACACCCTCTCTGGGATGATTCTTCAACTCTCAGCCAGGCTTTCTTCTCTCTCCCCAGGGGCCGCAGGCTCCGTCACTACCTAGCATTTTTCACAGGAGGAGAGCTCTTTTAAAAAACACCTGGTCACCTTCCATAGAGATTTCTAAAGGCATTGAGAGCATGGTTTTTCTACTGGGGGGTGGGCTGGGGGAAAATGCAGAGTTGGGTACACATAAGAAAAGAGAGCCCACGGACACACCTTCCCAGGGGTTAATTTTAAGAAGGGTTTTTAATTGAGCTACAAAGAGAAGAAAGTTTTCTACCCGCCTTTTAAAAAGCACTACCTGCATTAGCTAAACCATTCCCAACACACCCCAACCCACTTCCTCCCTCCCCCACCCTCACAGTTTTAATTGGGGTAAGTGGCTCCCTGATGCAATCTGCAAAGCACCAGCCCAGACCAGGGCAAGAGCAAGAGCTAAGTGGAATAGTGGGGCTGGGTGGGTGGGCCTAGAGAGTTCCAACTCTGTGCTTCCACTCACCACTATTTTACAGATTCAAGTACAGTATTTCCACTTGCTGGTCTTTTCAAACAACTGAAATACCTATACCACCTGTGAGGATGGGGGGAGAACCACCCCCGCTTTATGCAGTGAGGGAGCTGAGCTGACTCACTGGGAGCATGCAGATTGGCAGTGGTGAGCATGAATGCTTTTGGGTCTGGGTCTCCGTGTGGGGGCTGACATCACCTGGAAGGACCGCAGGTCCCCACCCACAATCTCTCTAGAACTCTTGGGCAATAAGAAATCTGTGGCTTGATGTCTTCCAAGCCACACATGCTTGGGTCTATTTCGCGGACCCTAATCGATGGCTGACTTCTTTAGCCTGCTGACCAGAGCCGATTCTTTGATGGGAAAACAAGGTGGGGGACACATCATGGGGAGAGAACTGGCCATCCCAGAAGGGGGCAGCAGAGGGAAGGTCTGGCGCTGGGCAGCCTCTGGGCTCAAGACGGAAATCCACCACCAGTGAAGACCAGGGTCCTCCCTGACTTAATGCACCAACTGCTGAGAACACCATAGGAAGGGCTGAGATGGAGTGTTCCCTGCTTCGGAACAGAAGCCAAGAAGGAGAGAGGCAGCAGTGTGGAGGGTCTGTCATGTCAAAGTGGGTCCAAGCCCTACTGGGCCCCCAGGCCCTGGGAAACTTTCCAGGCAAAGTGAAGACAATCACCCTGCCTGCCTGACTTGCAGGACCTGTCGTGAGGCTCCTCCAGGGACAATGGAGGTAAAAGAGCTTGAAAAACTATTAAAGGACCTACCCACAAGATGTCAAAATCGAGACAACCCTGCCTACCTCATGGGGCCCATTGAGAGCATGTGAGCCAGCCCCACAGCCCCCAAGGGTAAGACACCCATAGCTGCAGCATCACCACCGTCACTCGGAGGGGCGGCAGACTCAGGAGGGCAGCCTGACCACACTGAGCAGCAGCCCTCCTGTCCTACCCTGCACCCGTGCCGAGTCAGAGTCTCCAATTTCTAAGGTTTTTGGCTGGAGAATGAGCCAAACCATCATCACTATAAAAAAGCAAGGAGGTGGCATGTAGAAATAGTCCTTGTATGACTCTACCCAAAGCAAGCTCTGTGTTGTTCCCCGGAGCCACAGTTCTGGGGACTCCTTGACCATCTACAGCAGCCAAGGCCCCTGCCCAGCGCACTCACAGCTGGGGAGACTCTCAGATCCATCTAAGCCTAAACCCAAGACTGCCTCTCTCCAGCATCCACCGGCTGATTTGCCTCCACAGAAAAGGGGCTCCAGCACATAGCACCAGCTCTGAGCTCTGTAGTATTTCAAAAGAAAGTCTTGCTGGGGGCAAGTGGCCAAAGAGGGCTTCCCTTCTCAAGGAGGGTGCAGCTTGGGATGTGTGTTAAAGAATATGCAGTGGCCAGGCACAATGGCTCATGCCTGTAATCCCAGTGCTTTGGGAGGCGGGGGATCAGTGGAGGTCAGGAGTTTGAGGTTACAGTGAGATATGGATCGCACCACTGCACTCCAGCCTAGGTGACAGGGTGAGATACTCTCTCTTTAAAAAAAAAAAAAAGAGGCCGGACAAGGTGGCTCACACCTGTAATCCCAGCACTTTGGGAGGCTGAGGTGGGTGGATCACCTCAGGTCAGGAGTTCGAGACCAGCCTGGCCAACATGGTGAAACCTCGTCTCTATTAAAAATATAAATTAGCCGGGTGTGGTGGCGGGTGCCTGTAATCCCAGCTACTTGGGAGGCTGAGGCAGAAGAACTGCTTGAACCCGGGAGGCAGAGGTTGCAGTGAGCTGAAATCACGCCACTGCACTTAAAAAAAAAAAAATTTGCAGGATTACATAGAGGACCAGAGAACATGTCCTGTACACTCCTTCCTTCACAGCCTCTACTATGGGCCCAAAGGAAAGAGATGACCCCTCTCTGTATCCTTAAGGCTCCCACCCATTCTGATGTCACAAGTCCTGAGGCCAGTGTTCAGACAAGACCACCACAGCCATGTCAGGGGGCTACCAGGCCTCACAAGCTTGGGTCCCACCTGGGAGCCAGAGCCCACAGCACAGTGCCATACTGCAGCCTTTGGGTGTCTCTCCCCTCTGAGCTCCCCCTCCAGTGGGGGTTGATTGGTCCAGCTTCCTGGAAATGTCTCTTCCACTTTGAATCCACTTCAGAAAGGCAGGCCCAGGAGGGAGGCCAGGAGGGGGTGGGATGGGAAGGAACATCCTGTCTGCATCAGAGCAGGGGAGGTGGCCCTGAGCCTGCCCACGTGTGCCTGGAGCTTTTTTTTTTTTTTTTTTTTCCATTGAGCAGGAAGTGTTCATTCCACCGACAAACAAGCATCTGGGGTCGTGCTAGGGTTAGGGCGGTGGAGCCAGCTCTGATTTGTAGAAGTGAACAATCCAAGACAATGGGTGTACAACGGCAGAGAAATCAGCTCCAGATGCAGGCCAGAGACAGCTGCCCAGGGACCAATCGGGGTAATCAATCCTGTTGATATGTTTGTTCTCCAAAGAAGAACCTGGGGGAGGGGGCTGCAGCCTCTGCCTCGCCAGACAATGGAAGGCAGCTGGGAGCACAGTCTATAACCCTTCTTTCTGATACAGTCTAGGGCTCCTGCTTTCTCTTCTGTCTCAAGGCTTCCCTGCTCCTCAGCCAGGAACTAGGGGGGCTCACACCGAAGCTGTGTGCCTGTGCTTTTTTTTTTTTTTTTTTTTTTTTTTCTTTTTAAAGAGCTGGGGTCTCACTATGTTGCCGAGGCTGGGTTAAAACTCCTGGGCTCAAACAATCTTCCCACCTCAGCCTCCCGAGTAGCTATGCCTATGCTTTTTGACATCAACAGTCAAGTACTCTGGGGTCAATGCCTAAGGTCTTGCACAAAAGCACGGGGGCCTGGAGTGTTCCTGCCCTGCAGCCGTAGGCTGCCCATCACTTCTGTGCAGTGCTCGTAAGCAGATGCTACTCAGAGTCAAGATAGCTAAGCTTTCCCAAATATTAGGGCAGCTGGTAAGGAGGGAGACTAGGATTTTTACTTTTTTTTTTTTTGAGACAAGAGTCTCACTCTGTCGCCCAGGCTGGAGTGCAGTGGTGGGATCTCAGCTCACTGCAACCTCCGCCTCCCAGGTTCAAGCGATTCTCCTGCCTCAGTCTCCCAAGTAGCTGGGATTGCAGGTGCCCACCACACCTGGCTAATTTTTGTATTTTTAGTAGAGACGGGGTTTCACCATGTTATCCAGGCTGGTCTCAAAGTCCTGACATCAGGTGATCCACCCGCCTCGGCCTCCCAAAGTGCTGGGATTACAGGCATGAGCCACTGCTCCCAGCCAGATTTTCACTTTTCAGATCTATGAGGTATCAGAGTGGCTGAGATGGAAAATGGGAGCCAGCCAAGGGGGGCTTAGCCAAACAGTTACTAAGGAGCAGAGTTGGGGCCAGCACCCAAGGTAAAACGTAGACCCAGTCTCCAAGGGGAGACAGGATTACCTGATTGTCTGGCAGGGGTAGGGGAGGAAGACCACATACTGACAAGACACACCAAGGAAGTGTATGCGGGCACACATTCAAATAAGCAGTTCTGAGGACCTACCATGTAGCGCAAACTCCAGAGGGAAGCAAAAAGGGCGAAGGACTCCTCCACTTCACAGAGCTGTGAGATCCAGAAGAAGGGCACAGCAACCCTTTTATATCACACATGTCACCAAAGGCTGTGGCCTGCAGTTGTGCCTACACCTGGCTAGTGCAGTTTCACCAACATTGGTGGGGACAGCAAAAGCTCCCTACCTGGCACTCACAAAGCCTCAACATTTTCTTTAAAAAGATTTGTGAAATAGACTGTTAAATGGATGAGCAGTTAGTTGGGTCTGATACCTTGAACATGCTTCCCTAGACAAAGATTCTATGAACTTAAATATTTCCTTAGATCCTGCCTAAAAGGGACCTCAAAGGGCTCTTAAGGAAAAGAGTTGTTCTTTTTGTGGAACTGGTCTCACCAGAATTGGAGAGTGAGCTGCCTAGTTAAGACAGTGAGCACCCGGTCAACTGGCAGTGTCCCAGCAAAGGAGGTGAATGAGGAGGCTTCCAGTGTCCCCTCCCAGTATGAAGTCAAAGCCACCTGGGTACAGACGCTGGACAGGGAGGGGATACTTGTTGATCTGGCCAACCTTCCTTGATAAGCAGGAAAGGGGGAAGGGAGCTGAAAATCCTAAGAACAAAAGAACGGCAGAGCTTGTCACTCGGCCCTGATCATCCATGGCACCCTATCCAGCCATCTGTCACAGCATATAGAAATTCCCCGCGTGTGATTCTGTCTGCCTGGAGAGGCTGCTGGCTCTTATCCATCTCCCTATTCCCACTGAGCTTGGTGCCCAGGAGGCCCCCATAAACATTACTGAACAAAATGTTGAATCAAGGCTACTACCGGAGCCTCCCTGTACAGATCAAGCACTGTCTGTACCCATTCCTCAAGGCCAAGGCTCTCTGGGCCACATAACTCTCTCTCCTTAACTTGTGAGACAGCCTGCAGCTCATAACTGCACACAATAGCACAAGACCATGCCTGGTCTACCTCTGTTTCCAGCCGCCGCCTGTCCCTCCTCTCTTACATAGCTGCAAGTCCCTGGCAGTCAAGGAAAAGAAAGAACTCACCACACACCACTTGGTACTATGAGAAGCACACAGCAGATGGACTTGGTGTTTGGTACAGAAAGTAGAAAAGTCGGAGTTATAACATTTTTCATCTAGAGCAAGCAAAAAAAGAGATTCTTCAATGTTTAATAACTTCCAGTGCAAGTTAAAATGCAGTTAGAGTACCCATTTATCTATTGCTAGCCTCAGTATAAATTAAGACAACTTTTTTTTAATTTAAAAAAAAAAAAAAAAGGTCTTGCTCTATCGCCCAGGCTGGAGTACAGTAGTGTGATCTCTGTCTTTAATTTTTCTAAAGACAGGGTCTCTTGCTCTGTCACCCAGGCTGGGCTGCAGTTCCACAATCACAGCTCACTGCAGCCTCAAACCCCCAAGCTCAAGCAATCCTCCTGCCTCTGCCTCCTGAGTAGCTGAGACTACAGGCTCACGCTACTATGCCCAGCTGATTTTTTTTTCTTTGGTAGAGACAGGGTCGCGCCATATTGCCCAGATTGGTCTCGGACTCCTGGTCTCAAGGAATCCTCCTGCCTCAGCCTCCCAAAGTACTGGGATTACAGGCATGAGCCATTGCACCTGGCCAAGACAACCCTCCCGAAAATAATTTGGCAAAGGATTCAAGGGTTTTAGCAGGAGGGTCCTTATTTTCTGACCCAGTAATTGCACTTCTGGGAATTTATTCTAACTGGGCGCGGTGGCTCACGCCTGTAATCCCAGCACTTTGGGAGGCTGAGGCGGGAAGATCACAAGGTCAGAAGATCAAGACCATCCTGGCTAGCACACAGTGAAACCCCAACTCTATTAAAAATACAAAAAATCAGCTGGGTGTGGTGGCAGGCACCTGTGGTCCCAGCTCGGGAGGCTGAGGGAGGAGGATGGTATGAACTCGGGAAGTGGAGCTTGCAGTGAGCCAAGATCGCGCCACCGCACTCCAGCCTGGACGACAGAGCGAGACTCTGTCTCAAAAATAAATAAATAGGCCGGGCGCGGTGGCTCACGCCTGTAATCCCAGCACTTTGGGAGGCCGAGGCGGGTGGATCATGAGGTCAGGAGATCGAGACCATCCTGGCTAACAAGGTGAAACCCCGTCTCTACTAAAAATACAAAAAAAATTAGCCGGGCGCGGTGGCGGGCGCCTGTAGTCCCAGCTACTCGGGAGGCTGAGGCAGGAGAATGGCGTGAACCCGGGAAGCGGAGCTTGCAGTGAGCCGAGATTGCGCCACTGCAGTCCGCAGTCCCACCTGGGCGACAGAGCGAGACTCCGTCTCAAAAAAAAAAAATAAAATAAATAAATAAATAAATAAATAAATAAATAAATAAATAAATAAATAAAATAAAATAAAATAAAATAAAAATGTCTTAGTCTGTTCTTGCTACTATAAGAAAATACCTTCGCGTGGGTACTTTATAAATAATAGAAATGTATTGCTCACAGTTCCAGAGCTGGGGAAGTCTGAGATCAAGGCACTCGCAAATTTGGTGTCTGGTGAGGGCTTGAGCTCTGCTTCAAAAATGGCACCTTCTTGCTGCATCCTCACACGGCATCCCTTCAGCCTCTTTTAGGAGGGCACTCATTCCATTCATGACGATGGAGCCCTCATGACCTAATCACATTCCCCAAACGACCCACCTTTCACTACTATCACACTGAAAATTATGCTTCAACAATGTGAATTTTGGGGAGACTCAGTATTCAGATCACAGCAAAAATCATCCACAATGGAAGGCAAAGATGTTCACTGCAGTGTTATGTACAATGGCAGGGTGGAGAGATGGAGGACAGGAAGGAATCGCCAATTAAGGGAATGATTCAATAAAGCATATGAGGCCATTAAACTGTAATGATAATATACTATTTATCAAAAGAAAAAGCATCGGCCAACCGTGGTGACTCACACCTGTCATCTCAGCACTTTGGAGGCCAAGGCGGGCAGATCGCTTGAGCACAGGAGTTTGAGACCAGTCTGGGCAACACAGTGAAAACTTGTCTCTACAAAAAATACAAAAATGAGCCGGGTGTGGTGGCAGGCGCCTGTGATCCCAGCTACTGGGGAGGCTGAGGTGGGAGGATCACCTGAGCCCAAGAGGCAGAGGTTGCAGTGAGCAGAGGTTGCACCACTGCACTCCAGCCTGGGTGATAGAGCGAGACTCTCAAAAAAAAAAAATCATAATTTGATAAACATGTTTATCAAACAAAAAAGCATCAAACCACAAAAAAATGTGTAGACCTGGGCAGCCTTTTTTCCAAGTCTAGAAGTCACTCAGGATAATAGTAAATGTTTCCCTTTCACTTTCCAAAACGTGTCCAAAGTTGTCTACAAGAGATGGGGTGCTGTACTCAAGGAGGGAAGACAGTGAGGTCATGTCTCCATCCTCTGTGTTTTTGTTTGTTTTTGTTTTTTTAAGATGAAATCTTGTTCTTGTCACCCAGGCTGGAGTGCAATGGTGCGATTTTGGCTCACTGCAATCTCCACCTCCTGGGTTCGAGTGATTCTCCTGCCTCAGCCTCCTGAGTAGCTGGGATTACAGCTGCCTGCCACCACGCCTGGCTAATTTTTTTGTATTTTTAGTAGAGACAGGGTTTCACCATGTTGGCCAGACTGGTCTCGAACTCCTGACCTCAGGTGATCCACCTGCTTTGGCCTCCCAAATTGGTGGGATTAAAGGCGTGAGCCACTGCGCCCGGCCTCTCCATCCTCTTTCTATGCCATCTACCTCATCTCCAGGCTTGGGGTGGGAGCGAGGAGAGGTGGGTAAAGACTTTGAACCAAGGCAAATGAACATGGTTCCAGGTAGTGTTCACATGACACCTCCAAGGATGACATTTAACCAACAGGAACCTTCTGGGAGTATTTCAATACCCTCCAAAAAACCAAACCAGGCATGCAGGCTTTATATATGCAATGTGCATGTGCGTACAGAGAGCCATAATTTTCAATATAGAGATACAGCTATACCATTCCGTTCCCTAACAGCAGCAGTGGCCAACTTTCTACCCCAACCAGCCATCTGGGGCTCAAAGGGAAGGTGTCAGATTGATCACCAGGGTAGGATTAAGTTTTTTTTTTCTTCTTAAATCCCCTTAACTGAGAAAGCAGCTTGAGCCAATTCTGCTTTCCTCACAGACACCAAAACACCAAGCTATAGTTACACCAGTTCATCTTCACACCCCAGAGTTTGGGGGGCTGGGGGAGGATAAAGCTTTCCAAGCAGCTCTCTGCCGAGTCTCACCTCCTGGTGGAGGAGCTGGAGGCACAGGCTGTAAGGAACAGGACTGCCAGGAGAGGAATGTGTCCATAGCCTGCTCTCCCAGGTCCCCTTCAGATGCAGGAAGTGGCATCACCTCTCAGGAGCCTCTCCACATCCCCCACCCCAAGCCGGGAATCTTCCCCCTCCTCCCACTACAAAGATATTCCAGACTATTATATCACTGTACCAGCCTTACCTATGCCAGTTACAATATCCTTAAAACTTAGTGAGAGAGTAACAGGAGGGAAGGGGTCGTCCTTTCCCAGGATGTATCCGGCACCTTTCCCTGCTATGATTTCATCTATCCCCCGCAGCAACCCAGTGAATGGCAATTCCCATTCTATGGATGAGCGAATTGAGGCTTGGAAACACTGCAATTCTTTGGCCGAATCCTTAGTGTTCTAGGCTGTCCACACCACACCAGCTGCAGCAGACCACGCTCAATGGAGTAGAAGGGCAAAGAACCAACCAGCCCTGAGCACTGGGGACCTGCAGGTGCTTCTACATGTGTTCTTTCTAATCCTTCTAATAACCTAGAGAAGTGAGGAAGTATCCTTATCCGCAGCCTACAGATGAGAAAACTGAGGCTCAGCGAAGAGCTAACATCCTTCTCAAACAGCTTCTAAATGATGAGCCAGATAGACTTAAGAGCTAGGGCCCATGTCCCCTTGCACAGTGACGGTCACCTTCTCCCCACCCTCACCATTAAATGGAAAGCTCCTCTGACAATGTAGACGTGAATGGGAGTTGCAGAGTGACCCGCTCTGCAACTCCCATCCAGGTCTACACCTGGCACTATGTAGGTACATAAGACATCTGCCTGTGCTGGGGGAAGGACGGGAAGCAGAAACCCCTTTATAAGGGAAATTTCCAAACACAGAAGCAGCAGGAGCCTCAGGACTCAGCCTTACCCACTCAGTGTCACTTTCAGCCCCACAGGTGGGAAGGTCCTCAGCATCCCCTACCTCCACGCAAGCCAACTTTCTGTGCTCCTGCTTGTACCACACAGACCCTCCCTGAATTTGTTAATGATCAACCTTCCAGGCTGGCGCGAGCCTTCCAAGGGGACAATGACCACCTGCAGGAAAAATGGCCAGAGGCAGGTTCTGCATCAATTTATTAGGTTTAAAGAAAAAAAAAAGTCCTGAAGAAAAAGCAGCAGCTAAGACATGGTATTTCCAGAAAATTTGTATTATTCTTTTGTTGGCCTCTTCTCTTTGAAGGACGCAGGTGGCCTGGGAAGCATCTGAGGAATGAAGCAACCACAAAGACTAATGCTGGAGAAACTGGCTTCAAACTCACTGTCTAGACAGACTTCACGATTTTTCAAGATTTGACAGAAGGAAGGCTCCCTCAGTGTCCAGACCCCTCTGAAATGCACCAACAGGAGGCAGCTTGCCATCCATTCCTGTCCCAGGTACCTGCTTCATGCCAGGCTGGAGAGGGAGGTGAATCTTCAGAGGTGAATCAGAGGCCTCCCTGCCCTCTAGGGACTTCCAATCTAGCAGAAGAGTCAAATGCCAGTGACTTCCAGGGTGGAAAAGCACTGAACAAAAGTGAAAGGGAAGCCAGTTTCAGAGATGAGAAATGGGGTGACACTGGCCTTTTTCAAAAAAAGAAATGGACCACAGAGGGAAGACATCTGGCTTCAAAGAAGCCAAAGACAGGCAAAGGCAGATTATACCAAAAAGGTTTTTTTGTTTTGTTTTGTTTTTGAGACAGAGTCTTACTCTGTCTGGAGTGCAATGACGCGATCTTGGCTCTTTGCAACCTCCGCCTCCTGGGTTCAAGCAATTCTCCTCCCTCAGCCTCCCGAGTAGATGGGACTACAGGTGCCCGCCACCATGCTGGCTAATTTTTTTTGTATTTTTAGTAGATACAGGTTTTCACCGTGTTAGCAAGGATGGTCTTGATCTCCTGACCTCGTGATCCGCCCACCTCAGCCTCCCAAAGTGCTGGGATTACAATAGGTGTGAGCCACTGCTCGCCCACCAGAAAAGTTTTAAGTTAATGCCAGAGTCCTGAGAGGTGGGAAGGAGGTCAGGAAGTAGCTGCTGAACATCATCCAGGTGCTAGGAACTGGGGGCAGACACAGAGGCACAGGCCTTGACTTCAAGGAAACCAGG
The DNA here is from genome assembly GCF_000001405.40 of Homo sapiens. Lineage (NCBI taxonomy): Eukaryota > Metazoa > Chordata > Mammalia > Primates > Hominidae > Homo > Homo sapiens. The sequence goes on from NC_000001.11 coordinate 54,320,755, forward strand.
AGAAAGAGAAGGAGAGCAGATAAGCAGATAGCTTCAATCCACACACGGAAGCTTCTGGGGCTTTCTCGGAAACTGCAGCAACTAGAACAGTGCCTGGCATACGGTACGCATTCAACCAATGAATTTGTGGAATGAATGAACAAGAGTACAAAAAAAGGGTGTAGTTTATTCCGCTCTGGGAGGCAGGAAAGCTTTGCTGGGAAAATAACCTGGAGCTCAGTTGCAAGGGGAAGCTTGCCCCCTAGCAAGCAAAAGCAGCAAGGGGCATGTCAGGCAGAAGAAAATGCACAGGCAAAGGCACAGTGGCCTAAGGGAACATGGTATAGCCAAGAACTCCCAAGAAGCCCTTCTGTTCATGCTGGAGAGACAGAGGATGCTGTGACAAAGGCACTGACCCTGGAGAGACAGGAGATGCTGTGACAAAGGCGTTGACCCACAGGGCCTTGGGGGCCCAGCCAGGGAACTCGGGCTTCACCCTGAAGAACAGGAGAATGCCCTCAAGACTGCAGGCACTGGTGCAGCGTGGCCAGATGTGTTTCAGAGAGAGAACTCTGGCAGCAGGCTGTATTCATCTCAGTGCCCTCAGTTTCTGGATGAAGAAACTGTGGACTTGAGTGGGGCTGTCATTTGCCCGAGGTCAAGTGGCTGGGTGGTATCCATCCCTAGCTTCTGTCCCAGGGCTCCTTTTACCACACCCTGCTACCATCCCGAAAGCTCTCACTGCATTACCTCAATATTCCACAAACGCAACAAAGGCTCTTCTAGGTGAGTCTGCACAAACAAGTAGGGCAACTCTCAGGCCAGAGGCCTGGGAAGGCCTTAACCTGACTGCACTTCGGTTTTCTCCATGGAAAACTGGGAAATCGATATGAAACCTAGAGTTCCCGTGCAAGTCAAACGAAGAATGCACGCACAGCTTCAGCTCACTGACTTGCAGATGGTAAGCCCTCAAAGGACAACCGACTAGCATCACTCACGCAAACATACTGGAGTGTCTTCCATGTGCTATTCTGGAAATTAAGAGCAGAATGAGGAAAAGGGAGCTGAAGTCGACCAGGCTCAAGATAGAATGTCCCCCATGAGAAGGAGGTGGGGTCTCAGCCCACTGGCCTACAAAGTAAGGAGGTTCAGTGAGCATGAGTAGAGGCATGATGTTTTGAGTACTGCTTGATTGCCTGGAGATAAAAACTGAAAGCTGGTTGGAAGAAGGGCTGGAAAATAGGATGCACTCTGCTCAACCCTGCCCTTCCAAAGCTTCAGGACTGGAAAATGAATAGGTCTACCAGACCTCAAAGGCTGCAGGTGGGAAGTGGGAGGGGCACAGTGGTGGCCCCGCTTCCAGCCTTTCCATGTCATTTATGACACCACTGTACAAGAAGGATCTGGCTTCTCACAAGTCTCCACAATTTCTCTTGTCCCTTCCTGGCTGCTGGGACAGGCTGACCAGGCAGGAGAAAGGAAGACACAGAATCAGGCAGTAAACAGGGCTGACAAGGACTAAAGACACCTGTGGATTTGAGGCATCAGAGATTCATCGCAGCACTGCTGGTGAAGTTTTGTAGCACGGGGAAGCAGAGGCTTCAGTGGGTTGAGGTGCAGGAGAGGTGAACAGCCATGGCCAATAGCCACCAGCACAGACAATGGCTAGCCTTCTCTGATGTGTGCCCACCACACATCAGAACTTTTTGGGAGTTCTTGGGCCAGGAGGCAATCCCCTCCGGGATCTAGGATATAGCTCATTCTTACTGCCACATCTGATAATGCACCTGGCCACATAAACTCAAGATGACACCTATCAAATACCATGTGAAAATGCCCAAAGTCAAGCAGGAACATGGGATCTACATTATGTATGCTAAAGAGATGTAGGAAGCAAGATCCTCCCCTGCAGGAAGGACAAAAGAAAAGGAAAAAAAAAAAGGGAATACCCACTCTCTCCTCTCCAAGCAACAACTCACCTGTCTCCCTACCCCCCAACCCCGGCACCTCAACCAACCAACCTAGGTTCAAGCAAAACCATCCATCCACTTATGCGTCAGGTGTTAAGTCAGCTGGCATTACCAGGTGGCCTTTGAAAGTCCCAACACAGCACCCAACATAAAACAGGAACCCATACAATCACTGGTTGCCCTCAAACTGCCCCAGGCACTTACAGGGGGGCTGGGAATAAAAAGCCGTAATTGTCCCAGGACAAAACTGACAAATAATAACTCGTACTCCATGGGTTTCGTTCACTGAACTCTGACCTATGATTTTCAAGGGAACTCAGGAGGAGACTCCAAACTTCCAGAACAAAGACAAGGCAGAAGAACCTTTTTGAGTTATTTGGAACTTCCTGGGGTGAGGAGAGGTACAGGGCCCTTCAATCTCCCACTTCCCAGCTCACAGAACCAATGGACAGCCCTTAAGCAAGTCAATGAAGCTCCCAGAGCATTTGACTACTCTTCAGTGGGGAAAGAAAAAAAATTTAAGCCCCCAAATTCTGCTTCCAGGGCTTAATCAGTGTTGTAAAGGCCAGAAGATGCACAAGATAACAGATACTTTTACCATAAGTGGGGAGAAAAGTAAACTACTCCAGGAAACAGAGGCAAGATCTCTGCTCTCAGGCCTCTCGAATCCCAAGACCCCTCCAGCAGGTGGGGCTGGGAGTCAGGCCCTGGAAACCAGTTCCTCCAGCAGGGCAGGACGCCAGGCGTCCTGCTGGAAGGAGGCTCCCCATCTTCCTGGGAGGAGGTGTTGCTCCAGCCTCCTGTCCTGGCCTGCTCATCAGACCCTGTCCCAACAGGCAGGTAAGGACTGCTCTTGGCCTCACCTCACCACGCTATCTGCCTTCAGGCAAGTGAAGGAAGGGCCGAGAGAAGGCCAGCAGATGTGTGGGTGGATGCGGGTGCTTGGGGGCAAAGCTCAGCCTTGGATTGCAAAAGCCTGGATTCCAATGACAGCTGAATTCCCACCTATCTGGAGGTGGAAAGGACTGACCCAGAAGGAGCAGAGGAAGGCTCTGCCCCAGAGACTGTCTGACTCTAACCCAAAAGTGAGGCTGCAAAGACTGGGTTGTGGTAGAGGGAGATAGGAACTAGCAAAAAAGACGGTCTTCCTTTTTCAAGCTAGCACAGGCCCACCTGAGCAGGATGTACAAGCAGAATGCAGCAGGTATCCTATGTGTCCCCCCAGAGAAGATTAACTGAGTATCATTTATAGAATGCCAGCATCGCACTAAGTATTATCCTAAGCATTTTACAAGAATTATCTCATTTAATCCTCAAGCATCCTTGAAGAATGTGTTTTATCCCCATTTTATAGGTGCGGAATTAAGGAGCCCAGAGGTTAAGCGTGTTGCCTGCGTTCCTGAGGTTAGTGAGCAAGGAATGCTGGCATTTCAAACCCAGGTTTGTCAGGCTCCAACCAGCTCCTGGACAGGATCTTCTTCCAAAAGGAGAAAGCCTTCCGGCCACAGAAATCAGAAGTGGGGATGGACTCTTTCGACAGTCTTCAGGGCTGCAGACAAAGCCCCTTTACAACAAAATCCCTCTTGGCAATCAGAAAAGTCAGGCAAGGGGTTGGTCCCTTCCAGACAGTCCTTGGCACAGCCCCAGCATGAGGCTCGGCTTCTGTGCCATCGAGAAGCCGGCTGCATTCTCTGCAGCTCTTCCTGACGACAGTCCCCACCCCCACACCCCTACAGAACACTTCACTCAGTGACCCCATAGGCCAGAGCAGGATAAAGTACAGCAGCCCCTTAAGACTGACATCCATCCTGGGGACACTCCCTCGAAAGCCTGGAAGGCTGCAGATCTACCCTCCCACGCAGCAACCCATCACCAAGGCTGGAGAGGCCGAGGAGAGAAGGCCAGCCTGATTTACAGAATTTACCAAATGGGTCCGTTTTTCACCCCGTTCCAGTTCCTTTTGGGAAAACTCCAGGTTTTTAGGAGTAGATTAATGGCAGGGAGTTAATGGGGTGGTGATATATCCTGCTTGAAATTTTTTGAAAAGTTCTGCGTCAAGGCATCCAGTGGCCCCGCTGTGATTTAGTACGCTGGCCCCTGAGAACAGGCAGGTCCAATATGTCGGTAAATCTGCTAAACGAGGTGGTTTCTGGAGGGTGGTTTTCAAGATACACGGCCTGACATGTTGCCAAACTTCCCGGCTAGCTGAGCCCCAAATGTGAAGACAATGGGAGGGAGCCAGGCAGAAAGCCGCTCTGCTCTACCAAGAGGAGAAGGCACAGCCTGCAGCAGCCAGCACTGGGGAGCAGAGAGCTGGACCTATGTTCTCTGGCTTTCTGCTTTGGCGGGAGAATGGGGTCTAAGAATAAACAAACTAAGAGAGTAGAGCCAAAAGGGAACTTTGATATCATCTACTGCAGTTCCATTTTATAAACGGAAAAATGGAGCAGCCGAGCATCTGGGCCCAGGACCTCATCCCAGCACGAGTCACTCCAGCACTGAGCGCCCAGTGCCTTTCGGTATTGTAGCTCCATTTCTGCCCACTCCTCTAAATCCCAGCCAGACCCCACAGCCTAGCTGCCCCTTTCTCTGAGAACCATGTTAACCAACAAGATGATTTGTGAGCCTCTGATCTCACTAGGAAAAGGCAGGAACAGAATCTTACTTCTCTAGGCCCAAGCATCATGGGATTCACCAGCTCTTCTGGATCTACAGACGTGGCTGAATGAATGAAGACAGGAGTGGAAGGTGGGAAAAAGGTCAGACATGCCATACCAAAGCTTTCCAAGGGCCAAGGCTTTAAGATGCAATACATCCAATCACAATCAGCCCTCCCAAGATGAAATACTCCCTTATTTTGTAACTCCTGCTGATGTAAAATTCTGTATCAGATTACGACACCATCATTCCCCATTACCTTTGCTGGGGGATTCAATTATTGGATTAATTTATAATCTGCCTTCCTGGTTGTTTTTTTGCCTATTGCTCTCTTTATACTAAAATCACATGTAAGTAGAACTTAATCAAACAGTTCGAAAAGGATTTTGAATTTGTCTCGACTGCCGATGTCAATTCATTAGAGGCGCTACTGTTTTTCTCTGGTTTCCTCCACACTCCTCTCCTTATTTTGAAATCCCTAGAACCAAACCTCTTATCTGCGGACTTAACACAGTGGCAAAGATAATCAAAGGGAAAATCCTGCTTGACATCAGGGGATTGTACTCTCGGGTGGATTTCACAGGCAGCTCCCCCCCGCCACCCCCCACCCAGCAGCCTGTCACACCTTCATGTGATGGCTTAGTGAGCACCGGCCAGAGGCAGGCACAGGGGCCGAGGTATAGGAGCAGGTTCCTTTTAGCAGGGATGGCGGTGCTGATGGCAGCAGCAGCCGCAGCTCAAACTCTCAAATCTCCCTCCTGGAGCTCAGGGTAATCTGATGATCGCAGTGGGTAATTAGAGTCTCTTATCAAAACAATTAGCGGATGAATGAACAGCCAGTCCCATCTCTGACACAACTGCACAAGGCGCAGCAACAAGAGGGGGAGGCAGAAGCAGGGGAAATGACGAATTCCAGCCCCCACCGTCATGCCCATTCCGGGGGACACCGGAACTCCAGCCTCACCTCCAGCTTCTCCAGCATCTGCCCGGAATACCCTCCCGCATCCCTTCCTCTTTGCAGCCAGGTCAGCCTCCTTTTCCTTCCAAGCCTGGTTTGGTATCTCCTCCAACTCTGCAGATACCAGCTCCTCTGTGCAGAAAGGTCCTGCCAGTCAAGCTGCTTCTCTGCCCCAAGCTTATTCTATTTAGCCACCAGGCTGGGACACCCTGGGCAGGACTCAAAGCTCTTCCTTGACGCAGCTCCTGGCACTGGGAAAGGGCTCCATAAATGTTTGTGGCACACACACGCGAGCCAGGCCTGCCTTTCTCCCTCATGGCCGACCCCAGAGCATTCTGACTCTAATAACTGTTTCATGGGAATACCCAGGCCGTTCCACCCATTGCCCTTGTCTGCAATTTCATTAGCTAATGTTTAAAATTCAAAGCTCTTCCATCATTTCCGTGTCTCCCCATCTGTAAACAGGCCTGTGGGTCTGATACCATTTGTTTCCACCACTGAAAATACACAAGGATTAGCCAGAAAGCCCTGTGGAAACATAATCCTAAGTAGCGCAGGCCATAAGGCAGGAACAATTTACAAGAGCCCAGAGTTGGTCCTCCTGTTTGGTTTGTGGACCTAGGAAACGGGGCCAAGGAGAAGGTGGTGGTGGTGGTGGGTGGGGGGTGCCCAAGATGTTTCTGGGGATTTCAAGGACAGGCAACGCCAGGGCAGAGCCGGGCCTCCTGGTTTCTAAGCAGTAACTCAGGCACTTGGGATTAGGGGTGCCTCATCTTGGGCCCAGCCTCTCTAGGATCTTACCCCAGTGCCACACCCAAAAGTGACACATTCTGGGGTGCTCTGAGGGTGCAGAATGCCCTTCTCCCGCTTCCTAATGCTCAACAGGAAAGAGAGGGAAAAGGAAGGAAGGAAGGAAGGAAGGAAGGAAGGAAGGAAGGAAGGAAGGAAGGAAAACAACAACAAGAACAACAACAAAAAACCCCCCAAAAAAACAGGTAAGGGCCAAGGCAGAGTTCTCCATCTGCTTTTGTTTTCCATCACGTTCCTTTCAAGGCCTGGGATCTGCTAAGCCCCGGGAAAGCCATGGCATCATCTGTCCACTTCCCCCTCTGCAATCTGCCGCCCTGCCTGCTCCTGACAGCCATCAATCACTCTGTAATGTGCTGACCTCAAGGCTCAGGGGACAGAATTTTCAAGTCAAATGTAGCCGTTAACATAAATAAAGCATCGCCCTGGATTTCTTTCTTTCTTTCCCTTTCTCTCTCTCTTTTTTAATGATTCTGCAGCTGCTGCTGGGGACTCGGTAGGCAACAAAAGTGAGGGCAGACAGGCATAGTGGAAAGGCAATTCTACTTTTCTGAGTCATAACAATTATGACGTTATAATAAGAAACATTTTCTATGAATTTTTAAGTACGAGTTATCCTGTTCTGCAACTGTCCCCAGGGAAAAGGACAACAGATTCAACAGGACTGTGGGCTACACTCATCTGTCCAGAGCCAGGCAGACCCCTGGGTCCTGTCCCCTCCCCCATCCCAGGCACGCTCTAGCTGGGGCTCACTCTGCATCTTAAATAAAGCAGTTGTCCTTTAAGCACATTTACATGCAAACGACTTCCATATACCAAATATAGTTCCGTAAGCCAGCGTTTATTTTTAAACACGAAGAAGAGTCTCCCATAATAAAGCTCATGATAAATGTTATGATCCTCAAAATGGTTGATAGGGAAGAGGACGGGCGACTCTAGGGAGTGGGAGGGAGAATGAGGGCTTGTACCCTGGAGTCACTCCACAGCCGTCTTGACCTCGTACCCAGGCAGATCACATGCAGGGCGGCACTCCTCATCTCCCATCCTCTCTCCTTGCAAGCAACAGGGCCCGCAGCGAACAATGAGTCAGAGGCAAGGACCACATCGTCCAGTGTGTTCACAACAAGGAACACACGCACGACCCTGCCTGAGCGAGGTGTTCATGTGCTGAAATCAGGACTGCTGAGTCGCCAGCACGACCCACCTGAGGCAGGAGGCTGAGGTGACCAAAAGCTTCTGGTCAGAAGAACTACCTGGCAGGGCTCTGGTCCTGGCTCTACTGCTGATCTGCTGTGTGACCTTGGCCAAGTCACCACCCTCTCTGGGCCTCCAGGTCCTTGTCTACATACTTGCAGAGGCTAGCCCAGGCCTCACCATGTGTGACTGCCTCATCACACCAGCAATCCCAGCAGCTCTCGCTCAGGCTCCATGCTGCCTTGTCCACCAGAGTTTCTGAGTTCCTGAATCAGCCTAACAGTGTTTTGACATCTTCACTCACATCTTGAAAAACGCTGGGGTTCCTCCAGTTCCTTCTGGGAGAAGCAGCTACAGCCATGTTGCCAAGGCGCCTTTATAAAAAGCCATCACACAATGACAACCCCACAGACTGATTCCCTCTCCAGTGGCATCTCCCTTACCTGTAACCCAATACCTACCGGGACCTTAAAGAAGCTGAGAAGGGGCCACTACCCCAACCTTGGAAATGAAGCTCTGGCCACAGGCACTGCATCAGGAACGCACCAGGCCCTACTTCCTCCACATGACGGTGGAACGGGGAGCCAGTGCTTGCCTGTCCAGGAGGGCAGGGGCTGGCGTGTGCATTCTCCTCCTCTTCGTCTCTGGCTAGTGGGTTTTTGTGGGAAATGAGAAGGATGCCCCTGAAGGGTACCTAGATCCTGCCTGTTTTGCAAAGTTCCAAATAATATTCTAGAAACTCTGTATGGCTTTCTTGACTAGCCTCAAAACAGAGAAAAGAAATGCATCTCCTGGACTTCTGGAAGGAAGGGGGTTTGAGTCTATTCCCCTGCCCCCACCCAAACTCAGCTCATAGAAGAGGTGGATAGACCATCAAAGGCAGGGAGGGAGGCAAACAGCCTGTGACCCTGAGGATGAATGATATACTTTTTTTAAAGGGCTGTTCAAGGCAGACACATTAAGAAGGCTGCACATTTATCTTTCTGACATTTTAAAATATGCTGCAAAAAGCTGAATCTTAAATCAAGGTGCATTTTTAAAGGCATGTTAGATCAGGGACAAAACCTCTTCCTTTCTTCCTTCAAGGAGCATGCCTGCTGTGAAGCAAGGATTACTGCATGTGACAGTCCCAGCCTCCTGCACAATCAATACTGATTGTGTACTGGGAGGAGGCAGGATGGCCTGCCAGGCTGGGGCTTGCAACAACAAGAGGGCCCACTGTCAGGCCTCTGCCACCTGCCTGTGCTTGGTCCAGGGCCCCAGGCTACAGGGGAGGTGAGCAAGCCTCAAGGAGACTATAGGCTCTGCAAGGGTCACCAGAAAAGGACATTTTCCTGATCTAATTCAGGGATCTCCCTCCCCATCAACTGTTCCAAGTTACACAATCACAGGCAGGGAGCCCCCAGCTTCTTGGGAATCTGGATGCCATGGCAGCAAATGTTCAATACAAAACAGCGGCCCAGCCGCTCCCCTCCCTGAGAAATGGGGGAGGGGACAAGCCTGGTTGGCTGTCCTTCTCACCCCACAATTCATCTTGGGCTGCTAGGGCTGGAGTACGGAGGGGAGAGGAACACTGGACTGCTTTTGGGTAGATTTTGGTCAATACCCAGTAGCTGGAAGGAGAGCTTCCAACATAACACCAAGGAGACCACGCATCCCAGACTTTGCACGTTCACACCTGGCGCCCCACCATACTGATGAATAGCACTGCCTGGTTATAAAAGTATCCTGGTTGGGATATTATATGGTCCCCTAATACATACACACAAGAGCCTTGAGCCCAAGAACAAAACGGACCTGCATGGATCCCCCGCACAGGCAGCCCCCAAAGCAGAGAAGGCAGGCCTGAAAATCAACCTGAGCCAGAAGGAAATCTGGGCCAAACTGAAAAAAACGCAAACATCAATCAACGTGATTACCACCAGCAAGGAGGGAGGACCAGCCCAAAGGGCACTGGTTCCGGGCACATGAGGACTGCTGGTGACCAAGAGGGAGGCATGAATGGCTTCCCTTAACAGAGGCTCAAGTAGTGGTTCAGGGAGGAGCAAATACTGTGCCCAGGGAGTCACCTGGCCTGGCCCCCTACACCTCCACGGCCATCCATTCCCATTTTATTCATCCTTATGGCTATACCAAGTTCTTTCTGGCATTGAGTGTAAAATTCTACTATGAATCCACCGCCTAGCAGTCCCTGGGGGCAAACCAGAGCAAGGGCGACCGCTTTGTTCACAGGAGTCCCTCCCCACCACCAGTACACCCTAGGTTCCTCATGCACATCCCTCTGATGGAGGTACCCAGCACTGTCTGCCTGTCACCTGCAAGGTGAGGACACGGGCTCTACCTGCTGACACAGCCCAAATCTCAACGCTCCAACCTTGTGCAGTCAAAAAAAAATCCCTTTCAGAGCCTAACTCTCAAGGACACAACCAGCCCAGAAATCTCCCAGGACAGGATCCCACCCACGTCAAAACCAGGCAGCAAAGAGACACCCTTAACAGATCGCCAACGCAGGCCACCCTGAAGTCCGTGCTACCTCCTGAGCACACCACCGTGGGTGCAGATCACTGCTCCTGGTGCCAGGGAGCAGGGATCCCCCAATGCATGATTCGGCAGAGCCTGGAAGTAATGAAGAAATGGCTAATGACAGCCACTGAAGGCACTGTTAAATGGCTTATTACATTTTGTAAAGAAAAATACATCAACATCCATCATTGCAAACACTTTAGTACACAGAAAGCCCTTCAAAATTTCCTTCTTCTAAGTAGAAATAAAGGTTTATACATGTGTATGCCACATAAACATATGCCCCGATATAATAACCTCCGCATGTAACGTCCTCTATATAGAAAGAAGCACAGGTATATGCCTGGCTGGAGAGACAAAGGCGCATTGTCTGGACACAGTCACTCAGTATTACAGAAGTGTGTGCATGCACACACACACTCCCTCAGACCAGATGCCCAACCACTTCCAGATGCTACAGTCTCGGATATCCTTGGTTAAGGAAGAGGAAGAAAAAGCTCGCCCTTCACGTCCAGATACTTGGGTTCGGGTTACATGAAACAGGATTAGTTCAGAAAATCGTGCCACTTCACAGCCAAGACAAAAACCCAAGAATGAAAACCATGTATACAGCCAACACAATAGCAAGACTGAAGACAGTGACAAAGAGAGTTTTCTGGTTCTGCTCTGATGCCTCTCCCTCCACACCACACCTGTGATCTACTGTGCATAGGATCTCACAGGCCCAATAACAGAGCTGGAGTTCCTCTTACGTGACACAGGATTTGGCATTTGCCTGTGCCGGGCTATCACTCCTGCCCTGCAACACGCTGGTCAGCTGGAGAAGCCTGCTGCTCACACACTCACCAGCAACTTCTCTACCCTGGATGGTCACCAAAAAGGAAGAGCAATGTCTGTGCCCCCAGCATTGGTGCAAAGGAAGTGGCAGAGAAGCAACAAGGAGGGTGGTGCCTTGCCCCAACTGCCCGCCAGCACCCACAGCCAAGGCAACTGTTCTCTGGTGAAGGCAGAGCTGGAAATGCATGCCTGAGCCTCCTAACACAGGGTCTTTCCCACCAGTCCATGTCATCTGCCCTTCCCAACAGCTTCCAACAACAGGTCAGTGTGGCTCTTGCTCCCTTTCATGAAAATCACCAGCCACAGACCTGTGCAGGGCTGCAAGGTCACTGGAGGTTATCAAGTCCGAATCATCTTATCTCCCAGATGAGAAACCAGGGCTCAGAAAGGTTGAAGGACTTGCCCAAGGTCGCACAGCTCCTAAGTGAAGGGCTGAGAGTGGATTCCAGGCTGCCTAGCCAAAGCCTGTGAGCCTTCCCCTCAGTTCCAGCTGTTGCTATTAGCTCCCAGGAGGCAAGGGGGGTGGCAAATAGAATAATCAGATACTGGCAACCAAGGAAGGTGGCAGGAGCAGTAGGTGAAAGGACTCCCACATGGCAGTCACAGATACACGCATCAGCCCTGCAGGAGAGGCAGCAACAGTAAGTGAGATGCAAGGAAACTAAAAGTGGAGCAGGGAGCTGCTGGGAGGGGTGGGAGTGTGGAGAGGATGATGTGGGATCTGGAGCCAGGAGACCTGAGTCTAGTCCCAGCCACCTTGAATGCCTCAGCCAGGTCAAGCTGCCCATCTGGCTGCATTGTTTCATCTGTAAATGAAAGGGCTGGGCAGAAGAGATCATCTTTCCAAACCCCCCTGGCCCCAGTCACTAGGGCCTGACTATAGCTTTGGCCCACATTTGCTAGCTATGTGGCCTCTAAGAAGTCACTTCACCTTCCTGTGCCTCCACTCCCTAACCAGAGCCAAGGAAGTGACACGCTCCCAGGGGTCCTTGACAAGAGCTCCAAAAAGGCCACATAAGCCTAAGGCATCCCTCTGTCTGCCCTGGCTTAGGGAGAAAGATAAAAAAAACGGACTTGCTCCCTTGTCCCACAGCCAAAGCTGCCACTCAACAAGGGCCCTGAGAGGGCGTCAAGCGCATCAGAGAGTCAGATTCAGTGCCCACAGGGGACCAGAGGGGACAAGTAAAGTGTGTCACTGCTGGCACTCGGGTCAGGAGGGGAGTAAGCAAACATGCACGCACACACACGCGCGAGCACACACACACGCGTGCGCCTCCTCCCACGCAGCATTGTTCCCCTGTGTCACTGTCAGCAGTTCTGCTGCGCTTGACAACCAGGGCTTCCTAATAGGGCCAGGCTGGACCTGGCAAACACCTGGTCACTTCCCCTCCTGTGGTCCGCAGGGACCATCACCACTGAACACACCACTGCTTGGGGGTGGGGAATGTCCAGGAAAGCTGACCTTGTCCTCAACAAAGCCCTGGGAGCCAGCCAGCTACGTGGGTGTGCCTGGAGACCTTGCATACCCCACAGAATACGGAAAGGATTTTCATAACCTCATAGACTCTCGGGAGAGAAGATGGTCTCCTGCATCCTCCCGCCTCCTCTGCCTATTCCTGGCCATTTGGTGTGCAGAGTCAGGAGAGCAGATGCCTCTCCCATTTATACAGCCATGCTCAGGCTGTAGCTCTGCCCTGGATCCAAACAGGACAGCCATCATCCTGCCAAAAAACACCGTCAGATTTCTCACCACCCCAACCCACCTGACTCTCCGTAAGGCTGCATGGCCTGGTAATTAAAAACTTCAACAGGCCAGGCATGGTGGCCCACGCCTGTAAATCCCAGCACTTTGGGAGGCTGAGGGAACATAGTGAGACCCCGTTTCTACATAACAAAACCAAAATCAAAGAACTCCAAGACAGGCTATCTGGGTTTAAATCCCAGCTCTGCCACGTATAAGCTGTATCATCTTGGGCAACTGACTTACCCTCTCTGTGTCTCAGTTTTCTCATCTGTAAAACAGAGATAATAATGGAGGTGATACATGTAACTGTTTAGAATGGTGCCTGGTACACAGTGAGGGCCATATAAAAGTCAAATGTAGCCAGGCACAGAGCCTTGCACCTGTAATCCCAGCTTCTACGGCAGCTGAGGCAAGAGGATCACCTGAGCCCAGGAGTTTGAGACCAGCCTGGGCAACAAAGCAAGATCCTATCTATATAAAGTATTTTAAAACTAGGCAGGCATGGTGATGTGTTGTCTGCTACTCAGAGACTGAGATGGAAGGATCACTTGAGCCCAGGAGTTTGAGGCTGCAGTGAGTTCTAATCATACCACTGCACTCCAGCTTGGGAGACAGAGCAAGACCCTCTCTCAAAAATAAATAAAATAGGCCTGGCGTGGTGGCTTATGCCCATAATCCCAGCACTTTGGGAGGCCGAGGCGGGCGGATCACGAGGTCAAGCTATTGAGACCATCCTGGCCAACATGGTGAAACCCTGTCTCTACTAAAAATACAAAAATTAGCTGGGCGTGGTGGTGCGTGCCTGTAGTTCCAGCTACTCAGGAGGCTGAGGCAGGAGAATCACTTGAACCCGGGAGGCGGAGGTTGAAGTGAGCTGAGATTGGGCCACTGCACTCCAGCCTGGGCAACAGAGCAAGACTCCCTCTCAATAAATAAATAAATAAATAAATTTCAAAAATAAACAAATAAAATACAAGTCAGATGTTATAAAGACTCTGCCAGCAAGCTAAATGCTGTCATTTCCTTCAGTGTTTCTCCATTCCAAATCTCTACCATCTACGGACCCACTCATTAGCTCCAAATGGCACAGGCTCTGAGTCTGACCTGGATTACAGTTGGTCCCGCCACTTTCTTGCAGTTTAACATTGGTCAAGTAACTTAACCTCTCCAAGCCAGGGTCTCCTCTTCCAAAATAGGAGGATCATATGACCTACCTCAAAGGATGGTTTTAAGAATGGAAGAATAATGCATGTAAAGTACCTAGCTATTAGGATGAATTATTAACAATAACAACATCATCTTTCTCCTTGCGGACATGATACCTGTGCAGTGAGCCTGTATTACTCTCTTTCAGTGATGGCCAACTGCTGCCACACAGAGCCGACTGGCAGCTACATTCAAGGGCCACTTTCTCACTTGCCGTTCAAATGAATCTTCTTCATCCTGTGCCTGTGAAGTTGATTTTTTTGAACCCACATTGTAGGACTTTACATTTATGCCTATTAAATTTCATCCTGTTGTTTTGGACCTGGAAATGGGAATAGGAGGCTGAACTAATAAGCTCTGACTCAAGCAGCACAGAGGCACTGCCCCGGGAAGAGCTGCAACCCCCAGGAAAGGACAAGGGCCTAGAGGAGCCAGGCTCTCAGAACTAAGGTGACAGCCACAGCTGTGAGGGCCTCAGCCAGCTCTGCCCTTTGTTTGCCCAACACCCGGACACAAGAATCAGCTCTTGTTACCAGAATCCCATCAAGAAGGGCAAAGCACTACGCTTTCAAAAATAAAGCCACATGTGCAAACTGTTGTCATAAACATAGCCCTGTTCAAGGCCTCCGCTGCATTCCTCCTTGGAGAGCAATATGTTTCATTTCTTCAACATAAACAGAATCAGATTTATTACATTCCGACAATGTTTCTAGGATGGGGACTGAGAAAGCTGCATTTCTGGGAACAAAAGGCACTTGTGCATAAGTGTGCAAAGAAAAAGGAGACAAGAGACAAAAACCACCTTCCAGACTCTGGGCCCCGGCAACTGTGATCCATGTCAAGAACCCTCATGCAATCTGCCCTGCATGGCTGGCAGAGACAGCAGGAGACAGAGGCTGATTTAAGGCTAGGGCTGAAGATCATGTGTCCGGCCAGACTTACCACAGGCTGCCATGGGCCCCAGAGTTTCACAACATTTAAAGTCTATCTCCCCGGTGCCCAAACACATCGATTCAAGGAAACCTCCCTGAGACCGAGAGGCCCAAAAAGGCGCAAGGCTCATTTCTGCCTGTCCTCAGGAGCCAGGGAGGCACGCACAATCCCGTAAGACAAGCACTCTGATCCCTGGAAGGTGTCAGAGAAACAGCAAGGGGCTGGGTTCTCACTCAAATGGTCAGCTCTTGTCGCTTCTCCCAGGCTGGACAAGGCAGCAACGCAGAGGAATTCCTGGGGAATCCAGGCAGGAAAAGGAAGTAGCTGGGGGAAGGGCAGGAGAAATAAGTCTCGCAAGGGAGGATTAAGAGCAGGAGCCAAGATGATGTCACAGGACAAGCATGGGCACTGGAGCCAGAGAGATGGGCGCCAATTCCAGCTTTACCGCTTCCTGTGTGGCTTCGACCGATTACTTAACCTCTCTGAGCTTCAGCTACTACATCTGCAGAAAGAAGGGAATAAACAGAACCATCTCTAAAGTTCTTCTAGCACTGGCACTCTGGATTCTTAGCCAGGGACTTCTGTACCTCTGATGGGCATAACTTCTTAAACTTCTAACTATCCATTCCAGAAAGACTATAATCCAGTGGGCTATCCTGTTTCCTTTTACCCACTGGGTCTCTGCAGTAAGCAGGGCAAATATGAGATGGGATTAAATGGATGCTGACTAACATGGCCCCCCACGTTGGGGGACTCACCGGAAATCTTCCTGAAGCCCTCAGAGGCCCCAGCCCCCGACTGCCTCTCCTCCTTCCCTCCTTTTCTCCTTCCCTCACAACACTAATTGGGAGGGACTGCATTCAATTCCTGCCCATTCTCGGTGAGCATCCCTGGCTCCCATGCACACGCAGGTGGGGAGGGGAGAGCCAGCACTGTCCAGAGCCTCCCAAGCCCACGGAGCCAATGGGCTCCAAGCAGATGCCCCCAGGCCCTGTACAGATGGGCCTGGTTCAGCAGCTTTTCAAAGTCAACAGAGTAAGGTTTTCAAATCCTAAAAGGCTTCTCAAGCCTCTTCTAATCTGTCTGCCATTTTGTTTTGTCTGCTCAGCGCAAGTCAAGGGGAACTTGACATTTGGAATACTAACTGCAAATAATCCCACACCAAGGACAGGGCTTTGGCGTGCTGCAGCATCAGCATGTGGCTCACAAGGATGCTGGGGACACTCGAGCTATATGCAGAGGGTCCCAGAAGGCACACGTTAGGTCAGGCCCCTCAGCCACGTGCGTGGTAACCACCCTGAATAGCCAGCTCCCCAAGGACAGGGCTGAGCCCAATTCACTGGCTTCCTCAACATCATGCCCAGGGTGTGACAGAGGGGAGGTCCCGCGCAGAATCTACTCTGGATGGAGGAATGCACACAGAGGTGGAGGGGGAAAGCATGTGCAACTGGTATCTTGACAGCTCTCAACGTCAGCCTCTGCCCCAAGCCAACCAAGCAAAGTGCGCTGCCGCAGGTGAGACACACTGCTTCTCTGGGCTTCCGCTGTCTTCTCTTCCTTCCACTTTGTGACAGTTACTGGCTCCCCAGTTGACCTTCACAGTGGAATCGGCCAGCAACCTCTTCACTCTGGCCACACACCTCCACCCACCCCAACGGTTCACAGGGCACACA
This sequence comes from Homo sapiens, assembly GCF_000001405.40. NCBI lineage: Eukaryota > Metazoa > Chordata > Mammalia > Primates > Hominidae > Homo > Homo sapiens. Next base: position 54,337,237 of record NC_000001.11, read on the forward strand.
GGCAGGCCTCATGACCATCCCAGCCTCACACACACTCAGGTGGCACAGTGCATGAGCCAGGCCAGGACCTGGTGTTGCAGAAGCTGGTTTAACCCTTGCTTTGCAATAACCCACCCTGGCCTGCCCTCTCAAGGAAGAGGCGCAGGGATCTTAGGGCAGGCTTTGTGCTGCTGAGGCTGTTCTCGCTCCAGTCTCTGACTTCAAGCAGCAAAAGGTTGGCTGAACCAAAGCATTTTGTTTTCCTCAAGCTTTTTTTTTTTTTTTTTTTTTTTTTTTTTTGAGATGGAGTCTCAGTCTGTTGCCCAGGCTGGAGTGCAGTGGCACCATCTCCGCTCACTGCAACCTCCCTCCGTCTCCCGGGTTCCAGCGATTCCCTTGCCTCATGAGTAGCTGGGACTACAGGCATCCACCACCACACCCGACTAATTTTTGTATTTTTAGTAGAGACAGAGTTTCACCATGTTGGCCAGGCTGGTCTTGAACTCCTGACCTCAGGTGATCACCTGCCTTGGCCTCCCAAAGGGCTGGGATGATAGGCGTGGGCCACCATGCCCGGCCTCCTCAAACTTTTTGAAGACAGTGAGTTTTTTGGGCATAAAAAATAAAATCTGGCTGAGCATGGTGGCTCACGTCTGTAACCCCAAAACTCTGGGAGGCCAAGGCAGGGGGATCACTTGAGCCCAGTAGTTCAAGACCAACCTGGACAACATAATGAGACCCCCATCTCTATCTTTTAATTTATTTTTGAAAAATAATGAGAATAAAGTCCCAGGCCGACTGAGAAATAAAATGAGATATAATGATTGTAACCATCCATGACATCATGTGTGTATATTACACTCAACAGCAACTAAACCGGAAGTGCTTCTCCAGTTTGTGAAGCCAGCTTCTGCACTCACTGCCTGCTCCAGGAAGTTGCCTGTGACTGCCCCTGTGGTCCAGGTGTCCCTCTCCTGTGTTCACAGCCTCGGTGCCCCTACTGCAATGGGGCTGCATAGCCGGCACCTACGGCAGGGCGGGCTGATATGCTTGCCTTGCATATGCTAAAGCGAATGTTTATTTTTCCATTTCCCCAACTAGACTGTAAAATCCTTGAGGGACAATACCTTATTCTACTTTACTTTGCAAATACCTGGGAAAAGATCTAGCATGTATCTCACACTGAAAAACCATCTGTTGAATAAATAACCAAAGTGATGAGCACATGGCTGCCCGCCTATGCTTCCCGCCCTCTCACTCCCGACCCCTAACCCCACTTTCTCCACCCGCTAGAAGCATTCTGAAGAGAATGGAAAATCTCAGCCAACTATTCAGGGTAACTGTCCGGTCACTCTGCGTCCATTTGCCTTTACGGCAATATATATACTAAAGGGTATGAGCTCAAGTTTCCATACATACCCAGGCAGCCAAGGGAGTTCTCTCTTCCCAGCCGAGGCTAAACAGGGACCCAACCACAAGCATCCAGTAATTCTGAATATGACGTGAACAACGTAAAAATAGCTCCTGTATCTCTTTGCCCCCACCCTTCTCCCCAACAACACAAAGGGCAGAAGAGAGTGACACCCCTAACAAACAGCCCCAGCCTCCTACATCTGGACCAGCTGCTGTGAGCCAACAGGGTATTCTAAATTATACTTTAATTACCATAATTTTTCACAGGTACCTGAAACCAGATCATGACGACGGTGCAAGAAATCCCCAAATAGGATGCACGAGGTCCAAGTTAAAGCTAGTCTTCTAAACACACACCTTTTCTCACATGCCTTTTATTTCATGTAGCACTTTACAGTCTGCAGAGTGCTTTCATGGGCCTTCTCTCTCCCACAGGCTCTGGATTAAGACAACATGGTTCAATTCCAGCCTCCAAAGTATCCTGCCCTCTCCAGAGACCCTTCACCTATCACCATTTGGTGCAATCTGTAACAGAAAAAAAAAGAAAAAGAAAAAGAATAGGAAATGGGGGAGAAGGGGGTCTTATCTTATCCCATGGGTTACTAGGAATGTTAAGGATTAAATGGAAAGCATAGTTAAGATTTTTAAAGAGAAAGCACTTATTGAGGATAATTGATGCTGGACAGATAGCAGATTCTTGGCAGACACACATTCTCAGTGTGGATGTGTCTATACAGCTAATGGTTAGAAGCGTGAGCTCTGAAATTAATCTGCTTAGATTTGAATCCTGTCTGCAACATTTTAGCTATGGGGCCTTGGGCCTCAGTTTCATCAACCAGAAAACAGGAATGATAGCAGTAATTACTTCACAGGCTCTTGCGGAGTTCATGAAATAAATGCGAGTAAAATACTAGCCTAGCCCTAGCACATAGTAACCACTAAAAAAAAAAACATCATTGCAGGAGAGGGGAATCTCTAGTGCCTTAAGAAAGGGGAAAGATCAGCCGGGCATGGTGGCTCACACCTATAATCCTAGCACTTTGGGAGGCTGAGGCAGGTAGTTCACCTGAGGTCAGGAGTTCGAGACCAGCCTGGCCAAGATGGCGAAACCCCATCTCTACTAAAAATACAAAAATTAGCCGGGCATGTTGGCGGGCGCCTGTAATTCCAGCTACTTGGGAGGCTGAGGGTAGGAGAATTGCTTGAACCAAAGGGGCGGAGGTTGCAGTGAGCTGAGATCGTGCCACTTCACTCCAGCACGGGCAAAAAAGCAAAACTCCATCAAAGAAAGAAAGAAAAGAAAGAACGAAAGGGGAAAGGCGGAAAGGTCAAACATAAACTTCAGCATCATATACTAATGCTGGAAGGGAGGGTGGGGTAGGAGCAGGACCCCATGCTTCTCTGGCTCTACTTCTTTCTTAACACACCTTTCTTCCCCCACCTAGAGGATAAGCGCCTTCAAGGAAGGCATTTGCTTTTTGGTAAGCTCTCAGGTCCCTGACATGTGACTTGGCATAAAACTTTGGTTCAGTCAATATTTACAAAATTAATTGAACAAATTAATTTTATCTCTCTTGCCTCTGTGCATTCCAGATATCAAAAAGAAACACCCTGCACAAAGAAAGTCCTCTAAAGGTAGCTTGTCTCTTTTCGGCTGCAGTAATATTTGCAAAGGGAGTCGGTATCCCCGCATATGCCAAAGTGCCAACCCACCAATGTGGTGTTTGCTGCCATTGAGAGCCAGAGGTGCTTCCTTGTAGAGGCTCAGGGGTTCTGCTCTCCAGAGATGTGAGCAGCTTCAAGCCCACCCATCTCCCCAAGTTGTGGGCATATGCCTGTCCAGGGGTGGCAGGGAGGGAGGGACAAAAGGGCCAAGTGGCTCCCGTGAAACCCCAAAAGCAAGTCCACGCACAGCAAGGAGAAATGAGTACACACTTTATTTTTAGCCACGCATGATGGAAAGTTACTCTGGGAATGGTGCAAATTTTGCTTCATCACCCTCGGTACCTTTCCAGGATCCTCAGTGGCTTCCCAGGGAAATGACTGATAAGGGGACAAAGGAATTTCTGAGGTTCTTTCAGAGGTGGAGAGGCAGGAGACAGAAACGACGTAAAACAAGGTTGGGGAGAAAAAATGGACTCCATGAACACCCAGGACACTCCCATACCAGCCCAGAGGGCTGCAGGCTCCTACAAGTAGGTACAGCCCCACTGGCTAAGAGGAGGCAGAAGGTCCCCACCAGAGCCAATCCAAGAAACAAGGCTGTCATTCCACTCCACCCTGCTGGAAAGCAGGGCAGTGGAAAGAACCAGGCTATGGAATCAGGAACATCTGAATTTCAATCCCACCTCTGCTGTGTTTTGAGACCAGCAACTTAAGTTCCTCAAGCCTCCATTCCCTCCTCTGTAAATCGGTGCTGCCAAACTGAGTCGCTCTCCAGGCCAGTGAAACAATGTCTGCATAGTAAGCCGGCTGGCACCTGGTGCTGGATTAACTCTCTTTCCGCAATTAAACTGAGGCTCAAGTAGAGGTCTCCCAAGGCCCTACTGTTGTGTGGTCTTGGCAAAGTGCTTTCTGTTCTCTAGGCTCCACGTCTTTCCACCTACCAAGACAACATGTTGGCAGAGACCTTTCAAGGTCCCTGCCTGTTCTGGGATGCTGCTAAGCACCCTGGCCTTGTGGACTGCTGGCCAGACGTCTCCCCTTTAATGTGTTGGGGGCTCCACTCTGAAGCCATATCCTGACCTCACAGTGGGCCCATACCTTGAGAAACCTTAAAAAATTACAGTGATTTCTGATTATAATGTTTATTTCCTTGCCTTCACCCAAACTGCATCCATGGGCCAAAGAGAATAGATGCCGACCTGCCATCCATTCATTCCACAAGGATTTACTGAGCTCCCATGGTAGTAAGTGCTGTGCTGGGCAAGGATGACCAAGGGCAAAAGTGAACAGGACAGTAAAGAGGATAGCCCAGTCCTTACCTTCCCAGAGCTTAATTGCTACCTGCCGTAAAATATGTTAATTCCTTTATTATGGTTGTGGAGGAAACATGTACCCTAAAACTTAAAGTATAATGATTGAAAAAAAAAAAAAGAAGTCCTGGGAGCCAAGTGGGTACATGACAGGAGGCCTGACCCAGCCAGCGGGCCGGACAGGGTCCCTAGGAAGTACCCTGTAGGCTGAGGTCTGAAAAATGAGCAGGTACTAACCTGGAGAGCAGGGAGAGAGAGAGGGGGAGAGAAGCACCTTCCACGCAGAAGGAACAGCATGTGCAAAGGCCAGTACCTGGCACTTCTGAGAAACCAAAAGAAGCCCAATGTGGCTGGAGGGCAAAGAGGGAGGAGGCTGGAGGGCAAAGTTGTCCAAGTCAGGGCTACGAAGGCAGGCTTTCAAAATGCGGACTGACACCACACTGTGTAAGGCCACGCGCAGAGGGATTTCCTGGAATGTCTGGATCTGGGCAAAGTTTCCCTGCGGAGAGCACCAGGAGAGGTACTGATGGCCCAAGGCACAGGAAAGCAGCGCAGCCCAGGCTGCAGAGTCCAGGCATCCAGGTCTGGAACTGGAAGGTACTTCGCAAAGTGCCCTCCTCAAATGCCCTTTCCATTTTCCAAAGGGTTTGCTCCACTCCTGCCCCCACGCCCACTTGTTTCACTTCTTATTTTTATTTGTTTTTAAACCAGGGCCTTCTTACGGTCAGGTTAATGCATTTTTAAAAAGAAAGCCCTGAATGTGTGGCCCTCCCTCCCTGGGAGGAGATGGGTGGATCAATAGCCCTCTTAGCTCTTCCTCTACCACCAGCAGTGACCAGAGCAGTGGGTGGGGCCAGGGCAGGTGTGGGCTCTCTGCAAAGTGGGCCTGAGAGCCAGGCATTTATGCCTTCCCTCCCCACCCCCTCCCATTCCCAGGCAAGGCCTCCCACACCCTGTCCTTCACCACCTACCGTGGTAAAGCCCAGGAACAAAAGGGACAGACTGGGGGAAGGCAGAGAACACTGGGCAATCTAAAAACCCAAGTTCAATCTCTGCTGCTCAGCCTCTTAGCAGCCTTGAAACCTTGGACAAGAAAGAAGCTAACCTCCCTGAACCTCAGTATTCTTAAGTAAAACGTGGGGATCTGTGTAAAAATTATGTGAGGTCATGCGGAAAGGCACCTGGCACACCCTGGGCAGGACCCTTCCCCGAGTCTCCCACACCCCAGCCCTCTGGATCCACTCTGTTATCACAGACCCTTCTGCTGCCTCCCCTCCCAGTGAGCTGACACGCTTTGAGCTTCCTCAAGGGAAAACGCTCCCCGATGCCGACAGATGGGGAGTCCTAAAATACAGCGTATGGATCATGTTTCGTGACTAGCAAAACACGCCAGCCGGGACACTTTGAGAACCCGGCCGGTTTTCAGGAACAGGATTTTACACATTTCCCAGGATTGGCGGATCTGCGCTCGCCTCCACCCGCCTGCGAGCTCCATAGCCCGGATCCTGTACCAGGGGGATACTTAGGACAGGTGGGGGGAAGAGGGGAGGCTGTGCCCTAACCCTCTGCCGCTTTTCATATTGCTACTACCATTTATGTATTGAACACGTGATACATTCCTCGCTGCGTGTCAGGTGTTTGGCATGTGTTCTGAAGCCACCCTGCCTAGGTCCCCATCCTGGATCTAACTGTACGGCCCTGGACAAGTCACTTCATCTCTCTGAGCTTCACTTTGCTCATCTGTGAACAGGGGTGGTAGTACCTTCCCCTCATGGGGCCAGGGTGGGGACTGGGTGAACAACATCAGAGCTCAGTAGACATGAACTGCTGCTATAATCAAACCACACGGTGACTATCACTGTAGCTATCCTACTGAAGGTAAAACGGACACTAAGAGGCCATGCCAGCTGTCCAGGCCACCCAGTGGCAGGGGAGCAGGTCTGCCTCTGAAGGGGATCAGGGATGGGCTTCAGAGGGTTTGCAAACCCCAACCCCTGGCCTTATGGCGCACAATTATTTGAATACATGTGAATGTGCAGTGTTCAGAGAGGAGGGCAATGAATTTCAGTCTCCCAGGTATCTACGGCCCCATAAAGGTTACAAACCATGGCTTCATATAACTATATCTACTTGACACACATAAGGTCACCCTGGCACAGCAGTCCTGAACTCTAGGATCTGGAGCAAGGATTACACCCCACCCCGTCTACCCAAAGGAAAGACATTGGTTCTTGGCAACATCAATCACAAAAAGCTTTGGACCAGGAGAAGGGGCTAGGAGAGCCACTAGCAGGGAAGTGTGTTAACACAGGTTCCGGAATTTTAGAAGAGGACATGCAACTCAAGAAACTGAGGAAGAGTAGTCTGTACTTCCATGGGATCCAAGAAGACCCGAAGGAGAAAAAGAAGAGATGGTGGGAAGCTCAGTACCTGGCAACTGAGGTAGCACCTGGGGGTGCGGGGCATGATGGCCAAGAGGTGCCCCTGATTAGACACCTGGGCTCAGTCACTCCAGTGGACTGACATTACCCTACTGGACTTGAGCTTGTAAGGGCAGAGAAACGTTGAGGAAAAAAAAAGTCACACCAAGACATGAATCAGGATATGAACAATATTAATCTTTGAGAAGTGGAATTACCAGAGTTTTGTTTACGTTTATTATCTAATTTCCTTCACAGTGAACATATATCATATACATCCACTGGAAAGAAGACACAAAACCAATCTACTTACAAAGACAGCTATGCACTGCACACAGTCTTGGCATAATAAATACTTGTGCTTCTGCCCAAAGTAGGCTCTTGAAGCCCCCTTTTGAGAATGAATGATTCAAGCCACTCCCAGAAAAGGTATCATTTTGGGAATAGAGAATGGGGTGATTCGAATATGTTCAAGACACTTCTGTGGGTGATTCATTTAGGGGCATAAAGATGGGCTCTGCTTCCCCGTGATGACTGCTGGGGCAGCTAATCCCATCACCTCTTAACACACTCGGTGTCGTCAGTACAGGCAAGGCCTTGTAAAGAGAGGAAAGAATTGGGGGAAACATCCGATCAATCTTTTTTTCTGTTTTTGTGGGTGGGAAGAAAGGAGCAAAGAGATGAGAGATAGCAACAGAGAACAGGTTCTCAGGTTGGGTGGTTCACACTTGTAATCCCAATGCTTTGGGAGGCCAAAGCAGGAGGATCACTTCAGCTCAGGAGTTCGAGACCAGCCTAGGCAATACAGCAAGACATTGTCTCAAATTAAAAAGAAAGAAATTAACACAACAAGGTCTCCCACTGCTTGAGCGCGTCGCTGGCAGACAGTGCCCATTAGTCCACGTGCGTACAGCTGTAAATTGCATTTGGTGCGTGTGGTTTTTCCTCACAGCACTGAGGAGACGTATAATTCAGACTTCCTATTTATATTACACTTGTTTCCTCCAATACAATGGCTACAAATGCTTTCTACTCCACTCCTGTCATCTGTGCGGAAATTCTCCTGATACACGGGGAGACTAGAAAGTTACAAGAGTTCTCGTGCGTGGCCAGCAGGCTCAGTCTCAGTTCTCTCTGCTCGGATGGGAAACTTCTGCAAGGGAAGAAAAAGGGCTGAACCCAGCCGTTAGAAACTAACTTACACTTGGCTTCTTCATGCTTATCCACTGCAGAAACACAGGAGCCCCCATAAAAAACATCCTTATTGACACTACGCAATATTTGCCCTTCCAATAAAACAGTTCCCAGCTACCAAGGCAGCCTGGAAGAGAGGACACCAAGAGCCGCACTCTAAAAACCACCCGAGTCTCAGCCCTCCCATCCAGGGAAAAGACCAAGGCACTGGAAGAACCTCTAAGCCCATGGTCCCAGCTCCTTTCCCCACACCTTCCTTCAGAGAGAAGGAAGAGTAATCTCACCTGAGCCAGCTGGCCTCAAAAGTAATAGGGCAGAAAAGAAAAGCCTTCCGCATTTCAAAGGCCCTCTCTGAAGTGCTTGCATGAACATCTCCTTTTAAGATTTCCTTTAAAATCCTTGGTTTCCACAGAAGTAACTAGCGTCTCACCCCAAACGCCAAGCAAAGTCTCTGTGCCTGACCAAGCCCTGACCATGGCACAGAGCAGATTCCTAACAGAAGATTACTGTACTGAGGCTGGGCGCGGTGGCTTACACCTGTAATCCTGGAGGCTGAGGCGGGCAGATTGCCTGAGCTCAGGAGTTTGAGACCAGCCTGGGCAACACGGTGAAACCCTGTCTCTACCAAAATACAAAAAATTAGGCTGGGCACGGTGGCTCACGCCTGTAATTCCAGCACTTTGGGAGGCCGACGCGGGTGGATCACTTGAGGTCAGGAGTTCGAGACCAGCCTGGCCAACATGGTGAAACCCCGTCTCCACAAAAATACAAAAAAAAAAAAACAAAACAAAAACAATTAGCCAAGTGTGGCAGCACACGCCTGTACTCCCATCTACTCAGGAGGCTGAGACAGGAGAATCGCTTGAACTCAAGAGGCAGAGGTTGCAGTGAGCTGAGATCGTGCCATTGCACTCCAGCCGTGTGACAGAGTAAGACTTCATCTCAAAAAAAAAAAAAATTAGCCAGGCGCGGCACCATGTGCTTGTAGTACCATCTACTCAGGAGGCTAAGGCAGGAGAATTGCTTGAACCTGGGAGGCAGAAGTTGCAGTGAGCCTAGATCGGGCCACTGCACTCCAGCCTGGGTGACACAGCTAGACTCCATCTCCAAAAAAAAAAAAAAAATTACTGTACTGACTAAAGTTACAGAGTAGATTAAGATCTTTAGGTCCCCTTGTAACAGGAATTTGAATTTTGATTTGGGGCCTGGCACTGTCACCCTATGCTGGGGGTTGAATTGTGTACCTCCAAAAGATATGCTCAACTCCTACCCCCAGTACCTGTGAATGGGCTCTTATTTAGAAATACAGTCTCCTGGCTAGGCGCGGTGGCTCACACCTGTAATCCCAACACTTTGGGAGGCCAAGGCGGGTGGATCACGAGGTCAGGAGATCGAGACCATCCTGACTGACACGGTGAAACCCCATCTCTACTAAAAATACAAAAAAATTGGCCGGGCATGGTCGTGGGCACCTGTAGTCCCAGCTACTTGGGAGGCTGAGGCAGGAGAATGGCGTGAACCCGGGAGGCGGAGCTTGCAGTGAGCCGAGATTGCACCACTGCACTCTAGCCTGGGCAATAGAGTGAGACTCCATCTCAAGGAAAAAAAAAAAAAAATAGAAATACAGTCTCCTATGGCAGCCTTGGGGGATTGGGTCCAGGCCCTTACTCCCCAACCCCACCTCACAGATACCAAAATCCTCGGATGCTTGAGTCCTTTACATAAAATGGCAGAGTGCACACACATCCTCCCATATACATTTTAAAATTTTTTTCAGACACTGCACCAGGCTGGAGTGCAGTGGAGTGATCACAGCTCACTGCATCCTTGGACTCCTGGGATCAAGCAATCCTCCTGCCTCAGCCTCCCAAGTAACTGGGACTGCAGGCATACACCACCACACCCAGCTAATTTATTTATTTAATTTTTACATAGAGATGGGGTCTCACTATGTTAACCAAGCCAGTCTTGAATTCCTGACTTCAAGCAACCCTCCCACCTTGGCCTCCCAAAGTACTGGGGTTAGAGGTGTGAGCCACCGTGCCCAGCCCTCCTATATACTTTAAATCATCTCTGGGTTACTTATAATATCTAATACAATATAAATACTAGGTAAATAGTTGTTAGGCTGTTTTTTAATTTGTCCCCTTTTTAAAAAAAAAAAAAAAAGATGGGGTCTTGCTATATTGCCCAGGCTGGTCTTGAACTACTAGCCTCAAACAATCCTCCCACCTTAGCCTCCCACAGTGCTGGGATTACAGGCATTAGTCACTACACCAGGCCTGTATTCTTTTTGTTGGTTTGTTTCCCCTGAATATTTTTGATTACTGAATCCGCAAATGCTGGCTGAACCTGCAGATGTGGAAGGCCGATTCTACATCCTTTTGCAAGTATCACTTAGCAAAAATGAGGTGATATTGGATTAGGGTGGGTCCTGATGCAATGACTGGTATCCATATGAAATGAGGGGAATATAAAATGAGATGCACAGGGAGGTGCCATGTGATGGCAGAGGCAGAGATTGGAGTCCTAGGGGCCAAGGAATGCCAAGGATTGCAGCAACGCTGGAAGATAAGAGAAAGGCATGGGCAGATGCTCCTCTAGAACCTTCAGAGGGCATGGCCCTGCGGGCACCTTCCTCGTGAACTTTCAGCCTCCAGAACATTGAGACTAAGTTTCTGTTGTTTAAAGCCACCTAGTTTGTGGTACTTTGTTACTGCGTCTAGAAAACTAACAGGTCTGGAAATCATTCACTCCAAGGCTCTCAACACTCTCAGCCACCCAATCACCCACCCCTTTCCTCACTGTGTGCACTGTTGCCACTTCAGGATTATATGACTCCGTGCAACCAACCACGACCTTCTGCAAACACCATCCGGAGAGGTCAGAGTCCCCATATCCATCTGGGGACAGAGACACAAAGTCATCTTTATCGGGTGGCGGACTCTGCCCCTCAGTCCGCCAACTGAGAACCGCCAAGGAAAGTCTGAGGTAACCCACAAGGTTTGGGAAATAGAAGGCATGGGGGGCGGGGGGGGGGGGGCGGGTGAGGACAGGTGGAAATTAGCAGAGAGTGGGCAGAAAGAAAGAGAAAAAGGAAAAGGTTCAAAAAGGAGCCTGCGGGTCAAGAGGACACACAAGCAACAACAGGAAGTAGACATCCTCCTGCCTTGCCCCCTCAGCCAGTCACATGCTTCTAACTTTCTCCCTCACACACCTGAGGTCTGCCTGGGACAGCCTCCAACAGCCTGCCAAACAGGTGACACCCAGAGCACTGGCTACCCACACAGCTGCCGCACTTCAAGCTCCCACAGTGAGAATACCAGCCCACTTCCGTCCAGGGGTTGGGCTTTATTTGTTTTGGATTTCCAATACCGGGGACTTGCTGGGGCCAAGTCAATACTGGAAGGCCAAGGAGATGGCTGGGCAGATAGATGTGGTGCAAGGTTCTACACGCTGCCTCACCTGTGCCAGCTTAGGGTCTGTGGTCATGGGGCAGCGGGGCAGATGCATCCCACTCACTTCCCCACCATAGATACAGCTCAGATGGAGGCACCAATGTGCCTGGAAGAGCAAGGCCAAGGCCTTGGAAGTGAGTTCACAGGGCTGCGGAAGTGAGTGGCCTCTAAATCTCACCTCCTCTCCTTGCTCTGGCACTCACCTACACTCAAGGCAAGTCACAAAATTAGGCCGGTAAAGCCTGGGAGAGGTAGCCTAGTGTCTTGTTGAGAGCCAGAACCAGGCTAAAAACCCAGCCCGATGACCAGCAAGCTGCTGCTCTTCACCCATTCGACAAGAAACAGGTAAGCACCTACCCATTATGTGTTCTCAGCAGCCTCGTCTGCAAAGATAAGATGACAATTACCTGTCTGAACAAAGCTCTTCTGAGGATGGAACATGATTAACAAATATAAAACACCCAGCATAATGTTGGGCACATCAAAAAGAGCCACTATGGAGGAGAGATTAGAATTATTAGGGTCATATCTTCCAACCCAGAGCTTGAGACCCAACCAGGTCTCTGTACCATCCACCAGCATGTCAGCTCCACAAGGTAGGCAGGGATATTCCTCTGCTGTTCCCTGCGGCATTCCCAGCACCTACAGCGGTGCCTGGCACACAGTAGGCACCCAAATGTTTGTTTGTTATGTGAGCAAAACAACTGCCGGGCATCCAATGCCCTTAAGGTTAGATGCAGAAATATCAAAACTGCATGATACACTGACCATCTTGGGGACAGAAGAGCATACTATGAAGTTATGAAACAAGCAGCCTTGGCCCATATCCTGGGAACAAAAGGCTACTGGTTCCCCCCAAATGAAGCCAAAATCAAAGAGGAGACCAGCACAGAGCTCCCTCAGGCTTCAGCCTTGAAAAGGCATGTTGGCTTTTACAGGAAGCAGGTAAGGGTTTAGCCATGCCACCTTAGTTTCGCTCATGAAATGATGGCTGGGGGTCACAAGAGGTGGGTATCCAATGAGGAAACAGTGTGGATGGGCCAAAAAAAAAAAAAATCAAAATCATTATTTTACAGATATCTTTTTCAAGAAATGCCTCCCGCTTCAGCTGGGATTCATAGCCATTTCATCTTTTAACTTTCCTCTCCTCTCCTCATTTCCATTTTAGGTTCAACCTTACCTGGCGAGTGTCCTGGAATACATAACACAAATTGCTGGCAATCTGGAGCCCCTGGTACATCTCCCACCTGGGGTCCCTTTAGCCTCTGCTGTTGGCTGTCATTTGAACCCTTCTGCCCCAAATTAAACCGCTCTAAACCCCAACCCTGGGTACTTAACCAGAAATGCCTCTACCATTTCCACCTCTATTGGCTGTGCCTCACCTGCCACGCCAACCTGGGACTATGAAAACCCACCAAGATATATTAAGTAGGAGCATCCACGTGAAAAGGCATCTCAGCAGAGTGACAGTGTGAAGATCTGGGAAGCTGAAGCCTTCACCGCTGCTTCCTTTTAGGTGGTGACCTGAGAACAGGTTGCTTACACTTTCTGAGCCCCAACTGTGCCATCCATAAAAATGGGCAAAATAATAATAGTGCCTCCCAACAGGGTTGCTGTAGAGACAAAACACAAGAGCAGCCCCTGAATGCTTCTTTTTGAAAGTGCGGAACAAGCGCTGTTACTAGGAACTCTAGTCTCCTTTCTCATCCGTGGAAGAGGTACAAGCTAGAAAACTGTGCCAAGCACAAGGCAGCCCTGCAAAGCAGAAGTAGTCCTGTTTTTCTCAAGTGATTAACAGGTCCAAGAAAGGCTGTGGTGAGATTTACGAGGGCCACAGCCAAGAGAGATTTATACGCGTATGGCCTTCAGATGGTTTTCTAAGACATGTGCACAACCCGGGTTTGGCTGAGGAGCTCAGCAGCAAGTAATTTTCTAATTGATTCATTAGCACTCCAATCAACTACTACTTTAGACACAAAGGCCTTGCTTGGGTCTGAATGTCTCAGCCTGGGAAGCTGAGCTGAATAAACCATTCTTGCCCTGGGGGCAGCAGCAGCCCAGGGACAGGCAGGAGAACCCACACCATGACCATCCAAAAATCATATCAACGTGTAAATAAACTCAAGAGTCTGGACACAGAAATAGAACCCGCACAGCTTCTCAGATGCTTTTTTTTTTGAGACAGGGTCTCATTCTGTCACCAATGCTGGAGTGCAGTGGTGCAATCATAGCCTCAACCTCCTGGACTCAGCAATCCTCCAACCTCAGCCTCCTGAGTAGGTGAGACTACAGGCACGTGCCGCCAAGCCCAGCTAATCTTTTTGTATTTTTTGTAGAGATGGGGGTCTCGCTATGTTGCCCAGGCTGGTCTCGAACTCCTAGCTCAAGCAATCTGCCCACCTCGGCCTCCCAAAGTGCTGGCATAACAAGTGTGAGCCACCGTGCCCAGCCTTAAATGCTATTTTTTATAATGAGAATTTTCTGACCAGAAGAAGATGATGTGAAAAAAGTAAAGTAAAAGTAGGAAAACAGCCTGAAAAGAAATACTCGAAAAGTTAGCACAAAGTTAGTCCTGGTGGTGGGTGACTTTCTTTTCTTCCTTCCTCCTACTTTTCAAAATGAACGAGTACAGAACACATAACTTCTTCTGTTCTCTCAGGTATAAAATGGCAGCAATTATACCCCATTCCCAAGGTTACCGGAAGGATGAAATTAGATTATGTATGAAACAGGCAGAGCCTGAAGAGCCGGGGGTGCCAGAAAGGCTGACCCACCATATCAGTGACTCACGGGCCCACCTACCTCCTGGGCCAAAATTCAAGTTATGCTCAGGAAGGTTATAAATGACTCCAGTCACTTATGAATTGTTGAGGCCACAAATGCTAAAAGTCACAGATCTCAAGAGTAATGTTATGATAATCTAAATATAAATGAAACTTTAACAACAATCTTCCTTCATCTTTTCATGTTCCTCTGGCGTGTGGGATATTCACCTAAGACAGGGTTCCTCAACAGGCCAAGCTAGCAGGGATGAACCTCTAGCAGATTACTCCCACGGAGTGACCTCGCTGGGCCTTTATGGGAGCCCCTGTTTTGGGACCGGCTTGCTGCCTGTACACCAGCTGTAGAAACATCCCCAGTGCCATCTGGGAAGGACTCCTGACTCGATCTGGCCCAGCTCAGCACGCTGCCTATCTATCCATCCACCCACCCATCCAAACATCTGTATGTTTATTCTCCAGAAGGAGCTCCTGGTGAGCTAAAGAGCAGTGTGAACTCCAGCAAACCAACAGGCTTCCACAGCATGGAAGGCAAAACACATGAAGACCCCCGATCTTGGCCAGGCCTGGTGGCGCATGCCTGTAGTCCCAGCTACTTGGGAGGTCGAGGCAGGAGGATCCCTTGAAGCCAGGAGTTTAAGACCTAACTGGGCAATATAGTGAGACCCTATCTCTACAAAACAAACAACAACAACAACCAAACCCCACCCCCGCCCCCCAAAAAAAACAGTCCCCTCAGTCTGAAGAGCCTTGGGCTAGACACGGCTCAGGGTACATAAAAGGACCAAAAGCCTAAAACTTCGGAAGCAGCACAAGGTGCCTTAGGAAGCTTGATAGAACTGATTCAAGTCCTACTTCACCTAGCAGGGAATTACCTTGTTATCCTACTAAGTGGCAATCTCCAGAGAGGCCAAATGGATCCAAACTTCTTGGCTGACTGGTAAGGTGGCTTCTTCAAGTGACTTCTCCATAAAACACCCCTGAGGAACCTTCTGTCAGAAACGGTCCCCACTGGGTCATCCCACTTCCTATGAGGCTTCATCTCAGCTTCAAACCCCTTCCTCCCCTGCCTTCACCTCCCAGCCTCCAGAAGAGAAAGTCATCCATATGGGGTCTTACTATAGTAATGTTAATGGAACAAGGCAAGGGGAGGGCGGGATGGCCGTCATCTCATGAGCCTCACCTTGCAGGATGTGCAGCAGGAAGAAGCTGCGTCTTGCCGTTTGACCATGCGAGCATCTAGCGTGATCAGCACTGTGCTCACTGCCATCATCAATGCTAACAGAAACGTGCAGACAACACAAAACCTCAGAACTCCCATCTCAATCAACTGCTCGGAAACTTCAATCTGAGAGTAAACTGTCATGTTTTTCCCACTCTAAAACAGGATGACTAATGACAGAGGAACCTCAACACAATCCATGGGGCTCAAGCCAGATCCCTCTCAACAGAGCACAAAAGCCACCCAGTCCCAAAAAATGTGAGCCGACGCCGGGCCCCTCAACGGATTCTGAATGGCAAACCCGAGAACTGCAGGAGAGACAGGAGGCAGTAGGTGACGCGGGGAGGCGGCCCGACCGGACAGCGCCGTGTCCTCAGACCGTCATGCCATCCCCTTGGTTTCCTCGCCTGCACGGGGGCTCCAGCTGCAGGCGCTCCCTGGACAGGTCCCCACACACCCCTGCCACAGGGAGGACAACTCTCAGAGGGCCCCAGCCAGTTTTAGAGCTGGATACACAAGTTTGTTTTATTTATTTTGCATCTAACAAGGCCCTGACACTCTAATTGGAATAGGGCAGACCCATTCTTTCCGTCGAAATCAGGCCCATTGCGAGGGGAAAAACTGCAGGCCAAAATCCAAGCTGAAAGGGTAAACTGGAAGATCACCTCTACTTTCAGATCCTACAGGTTCCAGAAAATCTTCAGCTCAACACCCCCGCTCCTGCCCTGTGACTTACACACATGTGGCCAGGCCATCCTCAGAAGCTTCAGCCTTAAAGATTTTTCCCTTTGCTCCTCTGAGATGTATCCACTCTGAAAAACCCTGTGCACCCTCTATGCTGGCCCCACCAAGTCAAGATTTCTCCCAGAAGGGGAATGGGAGTGTTTTCAAGTATCCAGGTGACCCAGGTGCATTGTCAGATCCCAATTCTGGCCACCCTCTCACATGCTCCATGGAAGTCAGAGAAAAACAGGCAGGGTCAGAGGCTGCTCTCGAGGGCTGGCCTGCCCCATCCTACTCATGCTGCAGCCCAGGGCAAGGGGAGTGGCATTCAGCAAACCCTGTGGAACTACACTGAATGGGGCAAAATTCACACAAGCCAGATAAACCCTAAAGCCACCTTCTATACCAAGAAACCAGTCTGAGGTCCAGCAATGCATAGACTCTGCTGAGATCTCTCTTTCCATCCAGACATGGGCTGAGGGACTGAGAGGGACTGCAGATGATCAGGTCAGCACCTTCATTCTACAGATGAGGAGGAGACTGCAGCACAGAGGGGACTGACTCCCCAAATCATACAGGGACTAGAAACCGAACTGGACCCAGATCCAGGGCTGTCAGTGACTGACCACTCCCCCGGCTCAGCAAGAGCACTCCTACATCCCAATGCTGCACCAGGATGCCCAACAAAAGATGGGACTCCCATTTCACTATCTGCAACCTGATCTTATCTAGAAAGCCTGGAGCCAGCGCATACCACTGTCTGCAGACTCTACAGCCTTACAAGGCTGCCTGTCTGCTCTGCTTTCTGCAGCATCAGTGCACCTCCCAGCCCCTCAAACTCCTACCCATCAAAACCACATGCCAGCCTTTCCCAGGCACCTGCCACATGCAGGGCAGGTGGACAGACCAGCAATGACACGGTACAGTGAGGCAAGTCTTTCCACCCAATCCCACAAAACATAAGCCAATGCTGGGACCCTCAATGGACTCTGAGGGTCACCCCACTGAACGGCAAACCCGAGAACTACAGGAGAGACACGAGGCAGTGGGTGAAGTGGGGAGGTGGCCCTGCTGGATCCTAGAGCCCCAGGAGGGTACACACTACCACTCTTGTCATGTGGTTCTCGGCGTTCACATCTAACGTGGGAGCAAGGAACTTCCACAAAGACCTGCTGGGCCTCTAACACACAGACCTCTCCCCCAGGAGCTTACAACCGAGATGGGGAGGGGGAGTGAGCCACCTGAAGTCCCAGTAAGTACTCTAAGCTCCTCTCCAGCCCACTCCCCGCTCCCTCACAAATCCCAGGAACACTAACCTCTCCAGGGGAAAGAAATTCAAAAAACAAGAAACCCAGGAAGCCAACCAATCGGAGATCCCTGTGAACCTGGGCCTAATGTAACACACAACTCTGTGTTAAGACACGGTGCCTTAGGGAGGAGTGGACTTCAGAACACATCATCTGTACATGCCATCTACCCAGCCTGTGGACTTCCCAGTAATTACAGCCAAGAGCAAAGGGGTAGAAAAGAGAAAGGTGAATGAAAAATCATGAATGCCTCATGCCTTTCCAAGGCCAGAAGACTGCTTACTGCCCTCGACACAAGGTCCCTCTAAAAGGAAGGGGAGGGTGAGGCTGGGTTGTTTCCTCCTCCTCTCCTGCTCTTGCTTTGAAGGTCCCTCACACAATGGGAGGCTCTCAGGCCAGGACAACGGTGTGACCTGCCCCTTCTCTGCAATGCCTGCCACATGCGGCGTCCAACAAACGTCTGATGAGAGAATGAATGAGACCAGGCACTCTCTGTCCTGTTCCTCTCTGTGCTGGGCACACAGCAGACATGAGGCTACTGTGCTCAACTAAGCCGAATTTCTGGACAATATCTATCTGGAGATAAATACAAGAGGAGGGCACCAACCACAGACATTACAGGGAGATCTCCCCCAAATTTATTTTACTTATTTATTTTTTGAGACAGGGTCTCACTCTGTCGCCCAGGCTGGAGTACAGTGGCACAATCTTGGCTCACTGTAACCTCTGCCTTCTGGTTCAAGCGATTCTCCCGCCTCAACTTCCCAAGTAGCTGGGAGTACAGGCACGTGCCACCATGCGTGACTAATTTTTGTATTTTTAGTAGAAACAGGGTTTCACCATGTTGGCCAGGCTGGTCTGGAACTCCTGGCCTCAAGTGATCCACCCGGCTCAGCCTCCCGAAGTGCTGGGATTACAGGTGTTGAGCCACCGCGTCCAGCCTCTCCCCCAAATTCAGAGAGCTCCCCTGCCTCCCAAATTTAAGGAGGCTTCTTGGAAAACTAAAGGAGTTATCTTAAAGTCCTCCTAAAAAGCCAGTCCCTCTTTACGTGAGGTGGTGTTTCAAGAAGGCGGCTATTGTATGCAGGAGGGCAAACCCCTGCGTACATCCCTCTATCCACACCTCCCGCTTTGTGCGAGGGGACACGATCCCACGTGAGGGCTCCTGGAACCCAGCTCCCTCTCCTCCGCCCACCCTGCCTGGCCAGACCCCATTAACGCAGTGCTCGTGCCATCAACACTGTTGTTTTGGAATGTGCCAGTAATTCTAGTGGCAGGAACAGCAAGCTTTAAGCTCAGCAGAGAAACCAGCTGGAGAGGCAGCCTCATGAAATAATGAAATGCCAAACCAACCCCTACATCTTCTCCAGTCTCTCAGGTCACCTACCAGATTAGAAGGCCTGTTGCTACGGCAACCATATCTTGCAAGTGCCGGCTGAACTTCCCCATAATTTTTAACCCTTTAACTAGCTCGGAGAGGGTAGCGTGCAGATGAGCCCAAATCCCGGGGAGCTGGCCTGCTCTAGGTGCGTTTTTACAAATTAAAGCAAGAAAAAAGAAAACCAGCAGCCAGGGGGAGGGGTGAAAGTCCACAGTTGAACAAACAGACACGGTGCAAAGGAAACGCCGCACACTTCCACCTTTCCTTCCCGCCAGCGCCCCACCAAACAACCTGATCGGCCACGGCGCAGCAAACTTTTCACGCACCTGGCAACTCCCAAGCGCAGGAGCTGCAAAGGAGATGGGAATAAACAATGGCAAAATGGAACTGTGCCTGCCCCTCCCGGCCAGGCCCCGTGCCCTTGTGCTACAGAACAGCGCGGGCCCTTCTGTGGGAAGCAGAAGGCGGCCGGGAGCTAGGCGGCGGGGACAGATGGCCACGCAGGCACTGGCACTTTCCAGTTGTCTGATGGGCGCCGTCTGCCAAACAAGCCCCCCACCGCCTCGCAGCCGCTCCCACCCCAAACACAGAGCTTAGGAGCTGCAAAGGGAGCCGACATCCAAAGGGGGCCAAGCACGGGTGCCCCAGGAGCCGCTTCTCCCTCCAGCATTCTACCCACATATCTACAAGTCATCGGGTGTCCACTCGCCTTCTCTCCATTTCAGGAAGTCTTCCTCCACCCGCCCCACCTGCTTTGTGCTCAGCAACCAGCGTTCAAGAGATCTTCAAAGAATAAATGTAGGGACTTTCCTCAGCCTCTTGGTTTTGACAAGACAGACTTCATAAAATCACACAGACGCAGAGAAAGGCCTGACACAGTCTCACCGCTGGGGGTAGAGCCCCTCACCTCACTCCACATCTTCTGGGTGGAGGGAACAGGGCTCACAGGGGTAACAGAGGCCTATCTGGTTTCCCCAGAGAATCAAGGAAAGGCCCCTAGGAAGGGAGGGAGGGAAGACAGGAAGAGAGGTCTGAGTCCCCAGTGAGAGGAGACAGAAGGCCAAAGGGGCTAGGAGGGGAAGGGAGAAAAGGAAAAAGGCAGTGCGAGTGAGGAAGGCAGCCAGGCAACCTGGGACGCTAATTAAAGGCTTTGCAGCAATCGTGACTGCCTAACACAGTGGCCCAGGGTGGGCACTCGACAAATGAGGCCACCCTGCTACACACAGATCCACACCCCCACTCCTGACAAAAAGCTAGGGGCTCACTTACAAAGTCAGGCAGGCAGGAGAAGGAAGGTAGGTCAATGTGGGGGTGGGCAGTGCTTCAGTAAGTTTTTTGGGGGCTGGGGGTAGGGTGTACCATAAGGGTGCTAGCACTATTTGTGAAGAAAAGAGAGAAAATTCAACCCTGCACATCCTTGCCACCTCATCCTCCTGCTCCCCAGCCAGCCCCACCACCTCCACCTCTCCCCCATCCACAGGGGACCCATGGGGTGAAATCCAGTCCAGTGAATTAAAGTCCTAATGTCCTAAGCTGCGCACAGCAGTGCACACCTGTAGTCCCAGCTATTCAGGAGGCTGAGGCCAGAGGATCACTTGAGCCCAGGAGTTCCAGGCCAGCCTGGTTAACATAGCAAGACCTTTTCTCTCACAAAATAAATGAAGTCCTAATGTCTTCTTTGCCAAGTAATAAGACACACCACAAATGGCCTGGCACCCAGGGAGCAGGGATGATTTTTGCTAGCATGTTCACCTGCCTCCCAGTCTTTCCACATGCACAGCAGTCATCAGGTTCCAGAGGACCCATCAAAGGTGGACTCTCCAAAGTAAAGGAAGATGGACAAACAGCACTTCCACACCTACACTATACCATCCAGGCATGAGGGTGCAGTGTTCTTACAGAAGGGTCTCCTTCCTTAATCCACTCGTGGGCAGGGCTGAGACAGCACCTCAATAGCCCTCTGCAGCATCTGGGACAGGACAGGAGCTCTAAGAACATTTTCGAGCTAAAAAGGAAGGAGCTTTTTCCATTTTAACCCACCAGATGGGCAGGCTGCCACCAAGCTTATCTTCATTGGGCACTTAACTATGTGCCAGGCACTGCACATACAAAATGAAGACTAACACGCCTGCCTAACCTCAAGGAGTACCTCTTAACTGGCAACTCAATGCCATACTCTGACCGGGCTCCATTTCTACCTTGTGTGCAACAGACCCTCAGTATTTAGATACGGTGGACTCTTGGGGGCTTATCAGGTGTTCCCCTGAAGCTGAACCAGCCCACCCAGCTCAGGAGGCCAGGAGGGCAAGGGCAGAGTCTCAGGGCTTCTGTGCAAATCCCAGTGCCGGCTGACTGGATGACCAACTGGAAGCTTCGTGAGCAACTCCACAACTGCTAAACTACAGACCATTTCTCCAGGGTTGCAGCTCACACCTTGCTCCAGGGCTTCCAGCTGCTTGACAGGAGAAGGGGAGATGGCATAACCTCCATCCCCTGGGCCTCAGTATCCCCTGCTGGTAAAGTGAGGAGGATGCCCAGTCTGACCTCTGAAGACATCCGAACGAACAACACTGGGAGACCAGTACCATCCTAGCTGGACAGCGCTGTGGGGACGATGGATGCAAGAGAGGATTGCAAGTGGGGAGGGCATCCCAGCAGTGTGTCCCCACCTACGCTCTCAACGACACAGGGAAATTCCGCCCACAGCTCTGAATAATCAAAGAAATAACATTTAGGTAAGGTTGGGGATTAAGCTAAACCTCACTTAAGAGGCAGGGATGTTGGCATTTGGGAGCAGGAAACAGGCCTGGGAACGCAGTTAATACCTACCACAGAGCAAAGCGGATCACCGCCAGCTCCTGACTCAAGAGCGTCTTCCACCCGCCACACTTCTCCCTCTGCCAACTCCAGGCGCTTCAAAGGGGCCAGGCCAAAAAGTGGGGGTTGGAGGTCAGTTGTGGAAGTCACATTATCAGAAGAACATTGGCAAACCAGAAGCCAGGGAGATGCCTTCCAAAACAGAACAGAGGCTATTTTAAACGTAAACCCACTGGTGGAGGTGGGGAGAGTTTTATGGGAAGAACAGAGACATATATGAGTTGCTATAATTACCCTCCCCTCAAAAAAAAAAAAAAAAAAAAAAGCTGTCATAGGAAGAAGTCTTCCCAGTTGGTGATGGTAATACCTGGAACACAGATTATAGCTGCTCTGTCTAAAACAGAAATGGGCTACCCTGTCTGGTAGTGAGTTCCCCATCACTGAAGGTAAAGCAGAGGCTGCAGAAGAAACCAGGGCCAGGGAGACTCTCATAGTCAGAAGGGATTTTAGAGGTTATCGACTGATAAAATGCTAATGGGAAAATAACTCAAAGCCCTTCACGCTTTAAAACAGTCTTTCCTTTAAAAAAGCACCTAGGATTCCTACAGAGGACATGGAAAGGTTTTGCATGCCCTCACTGACCTACAGAGAGCTTTTTATAAACATAAGGTTTCCCTGGCATCCTTGGCCAGACTCCACCTACTCTTCTTCCCGGCTGTAGAGGTCACTGTGTTTTTGTGGCAAAAGCTGCAGGTGGTGACAGAAATGCTGGATAAGTAAGAAAAGCTGTTATGTAAAAACTCCAATGTTTAGGGCACTTCCGTGGAGCAAAGAATCAGAAAATACGTTTCAGAGAGCAGAAATGGAGCAGGTGAGCATTCATCATTTCAGGAGGGTGCGATGCCATCTTGGTACCCCACAGCAACACCACTGGCCTGACAGGCTGAGGATAAATGGGGACCACCGTGACCAGTTAACACTCACCTACCTTGAAGAAATGTTCAGATCATGGGTTGATAATCACCAAGGAGTCAAACCATGACCTCCCACCACTACTGGGTGTGTGACTCAACCGCCAACACCTTCAGAGTCTTGTTCACTTGCAAAATTCTTAGGACCTAGAACAGTACCTGACATATACCATGTGCTCAAAGAAATAAAAAGAATACATATTAAAAACAAATAAGCCAACCAAGTATCTTTTCTCTCGGTTTTGGAATCAATTACATAACTTCTCTTCCTCTGCTGATTCACCTATCTCCTTCAGTTCAACCCAAAAAACATTATACTAAAATTACTTTGCATTCCCTGAGTCCACAGAGGGACAAAAGAGCTGTCTAGAAGCTTAGGGAGGAAGAGGAAAGTTAGAGCACAGAAATATGGAAACCTCCACTTGAGCTCCCCGAAGATCAGAATGTTTGTCTTTTGTTCATTGCTTTATCATGTGTTCTAATACTGGCACACGATAGGCACTCAACAAATACCTAAAAGAATTAGCAAACAAATTCTCTGTCCAATCTTGGCAATCACTTCACTCTCTAAAACATCTCTTCTCAACTACAGAATAACAGCGCTGGAAGGGGCTCAGGGGTCCCCAGCCAGTTCTAATGTATCTGAAAGCCTGTGACCCAGGTAAACTGGCCTGGGAATGGCTTTGATCACAGAAAGCCTGCATGGGTCCCCCCAAGTGTTTCCACCAAAGAAACTAGGAGGCAGTGTGGTGCCATAAAAAAAAGAACCCAAATTTAAAGCCCAAAATGTTTAGGTAACAGCTTTGCTTAGGACACATGAACTTGGGGAAGTTACTGAACCTCCTCGAGTCTCAATTTCCTCACCTGCAAAATGGGGGACCATGCCCCAGGTCATAGCCTGGATTGTAAGATAATACATGTGGCCAGGCACAGTGGCTCACTCCTGTAATCCCAACATTTTGGGAGGCTGAGGCAGGAGGACCACTTGAGGCCGGGAGTTTGAGACCAGCCTGGACAACATAGTAAGACCTTGTCTCTACTTAAAAAAAAAAAAAAAAAATCTGCCAGATGTGGCAAGGGGTACATGCCTGTAGTCCCAGCTACGTTGGAGGCTGAGGTGGGAGGACTGCTTGAGCCCAGGAGGTTGAGGCTGCAGTGAGCTATGACTGTACCACTGCATTCCAGCCTGGGAAACAAAATGAGACCCTGTCTCAAAAAAAAGAACTAACTAAGATAATGCATGTAAAAGCAGTTTGCATAGAGAGTGAGCCTCCACAATCCCTCACTCACAGAGGGACCTACTTCATTTCCAGCTCTAAACCTTACAATTACTTCTACCCTAGAAGGGAGATGCTAATTCAGGACAAAGGATAATCAAGACCAGTTCACAAGATAACGTTTTATGAAAATTCACATCCTGTAACCTGGCCTGTGCTAACTATAAAGAGGTAAATTTTCATAAAACCTAATTCATCTAGAGTTTTTTGCTCCCTTCTCAGGAAATTAAACAGATAGAGGTTTAAAGCAGAAATGGGGAAACGTGGAAAACCGAACAACCCTAAAAAGAAAAGAGCCCTTCCGAAGCTGCAGATGAACCCCACACGCACTCCCGCTGAGTGTGGGATAAGCAGAGAAACACTGCCCCCAATAGAGCAAGGCCCTCCCAGGCTGAACGGAATTCACAGAGCCTCTTGGATAACTCTGGTCCTGAGCAGGGGGCCTCAGAGAGGAGGTGCGGAACCTGTTCTCGCAGAACGTGGGATATCCCCTTGCGCTCCCCAAAGCCCGGCAGCGAGCTGAACAAGCAAGGCCACCATCAGTGGTATCTATCAACAGAGCATCTACAAGCAGCAGACAGATGTGACAACCAAAATCAAGACAAGTGGCCTTTCCAGACATGCCAGATACACTCAACCTCCCCACCACCACGATGATACTACTGGTCAATGTGGATTCTCATTTAATGGCAAAAGCCCTAATTTTTAACTGTCCCTGACTGGGAGGTGTTGTCATCGTCCTTCCGCCATGGGTTCAGTTCTCCCTTCCTCACTGAAAGAGGGTGCAACCACAGAAAGCTCTCCCAGAAAGAGACTGGAGGCGTAATTTTAAAAGTTCAGGAAGGAGAGGTATTAAAGACCTGGCAAAGATTTCTTGGGTGGTTTAAGGCAAAATTCAGAATTTGTATCTTTTCATTCCCAGCCTGCCATCTTAATTATCTTCATGCCCATCTTTACCATCATGGTAAGGACAAGCGTAGGAGACCACAAATAAACACACCCACACAAACATCTCAGCAAGAAAGATCTCTCCCTTTTCTCAGTATTCATTCATCTCCTCATGCTAGACCCAGAGCTCCCAAGAGCGAGCTCAGTAACCCTGCCAGCAGTGGACCATCCTGGCAGCAAGCAGCTGCTCAACTAAGAGCAAATCTCCACATGCCCAATATGTGGCATCAGCCAGCATCCTTTGAGACAGAGCAGTCCCCAGGGTCTCTCTCTCCACAAACCATCCTCTCTTCCCCAAGAAAGGGCCTGGCAAAGAGTGAAGGGCCCCCAGGGGTTGCTTTGTGGAAAGACTGACTTAGTGAGCAAATGGGATCAGAGGTACCCAGGTCAAATCCTCTTTATGGCCACAGATAGTCTACTTGGTGAGTAAGGACCCAGAAGGCGGAAGCCTCTACCCGACCTGGGCTCCTCCGGGCAGCCCCTACATAGGCGCAAGATATTAGACCAGGAAGGAACACTCAGTGGTATATCCCCCACCCTATAAGCTCCCGGCCTTGAAAGCATCTGAAAATAGCAGGCCCCCAAATCTAACCTTTTTCTTAGACCAGGCAGATGGTTTTATTCATGTAAGTTCTAGTTTACCTTCTTAAGCTGTCTAAACATTTGTCTGAGCATCTGAGCCACACGCTAGACTGCCCTGGGGATTAGTCCTGCTTTCAGTGGTGGGCTGTTGTTGTTGTTTTACCCCTCGTTTTCTCTCCCAGATAACGGCGAGGACAGGCATTTATAAGAGCTGGGTGCTGCCCAGGAGTTGCAATCTGACTGGATGGAGGCCTGGGAGATGAACTGTCTCACGGGGGGCGGGGCAGAGGGATACTTAGACACTGTTGTCTTACTAAGACTCCATATTTACACAGGGAGTCTTGGAAAGAGGGTGCAGTCCTCCCAGCCTCCATCAGTGTGGATAGAATGCTGTCTAGAGGTCATTCCTGGGATGAAAGGCACCAGGCATTAAGAAGCCCACTCTAGCACAGCCCCTGAACAGCTGGATACTGTTTGCTGAGTCACATCTCAGTTTCCAAGGGAAAATGACAGACACTGCTCATCACAGCCACATGAACTTTCAATCCAGAACTGCAAACCTCCTAACCACACAGTGCCTTGTTTCACCAATCTGGGAAATGGGGACAAGGGTACCCTCTCCCTACCAGCCATCTCAAAAGGGAAGACCCACACAGCTCTCAGCAATGGTGTGAATCATGAGTATTTCTTCACCTGGAGAAAAAGTACTTAGCACAATTCAAAAGTATTTAGCACAATTCAAAATTATGACAGATGACTATGCTACCAAATCAGCAATCTGATGCCACATCGGACAGTTATAAATTAGACAAGTCAACAAATTTACCCTTCATTTATACTCTACGCCCCTTACTCTCACACCAACCACAATCTTCTCTGGCCCTCAAAGAAATAGACTGAAAAATAAGTTATATGGGAGGGAGAACAACACTATTACCCCTGAAACCACCCCCTGCACCATCATTTTTTTAATGTAAAAATAAAAGTCCCCCAAAAACAAAACAAAACAAAAAACCAAATTTTAAAAAGCAACCATTGTTTATTTTCTTTCCACCATAAAGGTATACTGCAGAAGAAATGTATAGGGAAAGGTATATTGTTTTGTGGTAGAGACTTTCCTTAATCGGACTTAAAATAGGATTTACCAAATCTTACAACTCTTCAGGAACAGGGTGATTTGCATAGAGCTAGGCACACCTGGCTCCCTAGAGAGGCCTGGACAGGCCACCTCCCCAGCAACCAGAGGGGAAACAAAGGGGGCAGACCAGATTCATGGCAAGGCCAGGCCTCAGGAGGGTTCAGGTGTTGGTCCCTAATTCAAAGAAGAACTTCTTCCTTTACAGACTAGCCTAGTGTATGAGAAGACATCATGGCAGCCAAAGAGAACACTCTAGAGCTTAGGTTGGCAAACCAGTAAGGCCCAAGGGCCTTACTTATACCACCTGTATTTGTAAATAAAGTTTTATTGGGACACAACCACACCCATTCATTTCTGTCCTGTCTATGGCTGATTTCTATGCTACAATGGCAGAGCTGAGTAGTTGCAAGAGAGACTGCACAACCCACAAAGCCTGAAATATTTACTCTCTGGTCCTTTATAGAAAAAGTTGGCCAAACCCTACTCTAGTGTCAAGTACATTCCATCACAAAGGCTGCCGTAATAGACAGGTTCCAAAGAATAAAGACAGCTAGTTCAGCACCTCTACTTTGTAAATGCTTACTGAGACCCAGAGAAGGGGAGATGACCTGCCAGAGCCAGTCTGCTAGAAGGACTGAGGTCCCACCTGCCTCCCAACCTAGCACTCTGTTTAACAAAGAGGAAGGGGTGAGGCTTCTCAAAACAAAACACCAGCAGCAGGGGAAAATATAAATAGAATATCAAGTCCCACAAATAAACATTAATGCTTGGCTCAAGCTTAACATGAGAAATGTGAAAAATGGGGAGGGGAAGAAGAGCACATGGGATGGTCTAAGCAAACTAATATCCCAAGGGCAGCCTATCTTCAGCCCTTTCTAAATACCCATTCCACACACCCAAAAGCACGTGTGCTAATGATCAATCCTGCCTCTCTCCCTGCCCAGACTATGGCCACTCCTCCTCTCAGCAATGATGGTGAACTTGGCAGTATCGAACCCAAACAGCCTTTCTCTCCCCATTACCTGCAACGTCAGCTTTTCTGCTTCTCACACAACTCTGCCCGTGAATAGTCCAAACTAGCGGGGTTTGTGCTACATTTTAACATTTCAATAATTAAGACCTCTCCCAAAAGGAATGCCCAGCACTTCCCCCAAAACAGCTGTGGAAAATCAGGCTGAGAGGGAAATGCAGATGGAGAGGCCCCAGGCCTGCACAGAGGGGCAGGAGGGAGGGAAGAGGGGCTGAGAAGGAGGGTCAGCAACAAGACAAAGGCGCCGAAGAGCTTTTTTTGCACCCGCACCAGGAAAACACCAGACAATGTGAATGGTGCATGGAGATGAAGCAACATCCCAAAGTTAAAATTAATTAGCTGCCGTATTGACAGAGGCTCCATTGTGCCATGCGGTGAAGCAATCTAAGAGCGAGGGCATCACACACAATGTCGAAAGGCCCTTGGCAGCCACAGGTACGACAGGGTGAGGACATGCTCTATCGTGTCACCAACCTGGTTCCCTGAAGAAAGGTGTGCGTGTGTGTGTGTGTGTTGGAAGGCTAGTGGTTAAGAAGTGTCAGTGTTAAGACTTTCTTAAATTAATTTCAAAAATGCAGTAACCAAAACATTGACAGTAATACTCTACTATTTGAGAGCCTAAGTGAAAGGCAACAAGTGGGGCGCAGAAAAGCACGAAGCTGCCTATGAGCTACTAAGTGGCCTGAGCAGGTTAGGAGCTGGCACGATGTGAGGGAAGGCACATGCCCTCCCACTCAAGTCACAGAACTGGGTGGGCGTGGCCCAACCATCAGATATTGGTGATCCTAGGTACTCCCTTGTCTGCCGCAGTCACCCTACCCAGCTCCGTCATGAACGGCCATACCCCCTCACCTGGAAAGCCTGCCTTCTCCCTGGATCTGCCAACAGCTTCTGCACACCCTGCACCTTGCTCACACTGGTTCCTGTGCTTCTCTGGCCCACTTCTTTCCTTGAAATCTGGTGGGCTGCACAACCTAACTGTTAAGAGCACTGACTCTAGAAGAACTAGTTTGCCTATGCTCAAATCCTGTCTCAGCCACTTACTAGCTGTATAAACTTGGGCAGGTTCCTTAACCTCTCTCTGCCTAAGTTTACTCATCTGGGAAACTAATCGCAGTTCTGACCTCACGGAGTTACTGATATGGGCTAAATTAGTTTACACAGACCACTCAGAACACTGCCTGGCACAAAGGCAGGGCTGAATTAGTATCATTAAGGTCCCCACCCCTCCTTGGAGGGTACTTTTTCCAGAAAGTCTTCCTTAATTCCCTCTGTGAGTTAACTGCTCCCCAGTGGAGCCTGGAGCTCCAGCTGCTGCTAACACCCCTCTGATGGCATTTATAGCTTATCTTTACTCATGCCTATTTTCATCATTGTTGCCCACACGACTCTGAAGGCAGAGTACTAACTATACCCATTCCTGCAGCATGGAGGCGGAGTCCCCAGTCCCTTTCCTGAGTACCTGGTACAGTATATTTGCACCATATACTGGGCCATTACATAGTTACCTCTCAACAGTCCTAAGATACTCTAGGACTATCACCCCAAGTATACAGATGAGGAATGTGATGCTTGATCTCTCTAGGATAAGCAACTTACCCAAAGTTACAGACTAGTATGCTGCTATTAAATTCTGGTTTGCTGAAATTAAAGTAAACTAGGGGCCTTCATTCAGAACTGAAATGGCTTTCAGGGCTGAATCAAGACAGGTATCAATTCATGTGAACACACAGAAAAAGGTCTAGAAGGACATCCTCCAACTAGTTATACCTGGTACCAGGATGCACAGGAGGACAGTGAAGGGCAGGGAGTTTTGCTTCACTTCTTATTTTATATACCTCTATATTTTAGCAATTTTTAACAAAAGAAGTACTTAGGTATTACTTGAATAATTAAAAATAAATGGCTTAGTATAAAGAATCATGTTAAACTTACCTCCTACAAAAGACTTTGAAACCATTCTGATTGAATTCTAATAAAACTTTAGAAGCGTTCAATCTTCCTGGACCGAAAGCTTGGTAAGAAGTGGCTTTGGATTCAGACAAACCTGGCTTCCAGTCTCAGTACTTCCCCCTCCCATTTACAACTGAGTGACACTGTTCATGGCACTAAGCCTCTCAGAGCCTCCGAATCCCTCGTGCTGGAAAGGGAACTGTGCTATTATTTACCCTGCGGGTTCTCATGGGGATCACCTGAAGTAGCATGCAAAGATCTGATACAGTGCCACGCATACCAGAGGCCAGAAGTAGGGCTGCCTCTTTCCTTTGCTGCTGGAGTCTGAGCTGGTTTTTAAGGGTTAATCCTAGTCTACCTCCATAAGCCAGTTCTTTTCCAAAATGATCTACTTGGGCAAAAGATAGGTGCGGGGGAGAATGCCACCAATCGCTCTTGCCCATAAACCCCCGCCCTGATACTCACCTTCTGAGAATACCAGCCATCGTTTTGGAGTCAGGCATGATCCAGGCAATAAAAGCAGAGACAGAAACCTTCTTGCGAACAAGGTCCCTGATGCCCCATTGTCTCTGTAGTCCAATCTGTGCCTCTCATGCAAGGTTTCAGGGACGTAAAAAGCATTCAGACAAATGGGTCTCCACTACTGAGCTCTTACACAGGGAAAAGCATCTGAATCTGTCAATTAATATGTATTAAGTCCCTACAGGGCCCACTGCTCAAGCAGTGTTGGAAGAATGAGTGGAGAAAGGACGAGGGGCAGAGTCCCAGCACTCTGGTGCCAGACTAGCCAGATAAGGCAGCACGGCAAGCTACATGAGGTCCTTCTCTGATGTCCCAGAGACTGGTTACCTGGGCCAAAGGCTGCCTCTGCGGCGGGTCCCCACCTTTGCTAGGAGCAACACTAGGAAGTAAAACTCAAATCACTCTTAAGCAATGTGCTGGCAATTCTGATGGATTTTTGTTTCTAAAGTGTGCTCTGTGTACCACTGGACCAACAACTTTACACATAAGAATACCATTGTGTTTATGTGCACAAACATTTAGCCATAAGGATGTTCATCACATTACTATTTACATTATGAGAAAGCTGAAAAGAATCTTAATGCAAAAGAATTCTTAACTGGAAAACTGGAAACAAGCAATAGTAAGGAACTGGTGAATTATGCCACATCCAAGAAGCATAACATATACTCATTTAAAAAGATAGAAAACCTAGGCCGGGCACAGTGGCTCACACCTGTAATCCCAACACTTTGGGAGACCCAGGAGGGTGGAACACTTGAGGTCAGGAGTTCGAGACCAGCCTGGCCAACATGGTGAAACCCTGTCTCTACTAAAAATACAAAAGTTAGCCATGGTGGTGCGCACCTGTAGTCCCAGCTACTCAGGAGGCTGAGGCAGAAAAATGGCATGAACCCGGGAGGCGGAGCTTGCAGTGAGCCAAGATCACGCCACTGCACTCCAGCAGAACGAGACTCCATCTCAAAAAAAAAAAAAAAAAAAAGAAAACCTTAATGACATGGAGGGACCCATGGGAGCCCTTCACCTAACATCAAAATAGGTGCTTAATGAAGAAAAACAGGGGCTCTCAAGGACAGAGATGCTATGCTGCAGCCAGGGAGAAGGGACTTGTTCGTGGATTGCCAACTGGACCCATAGTTCCCCACATTTAGGGAAAAAAAAAAAATCAGAAACCAACTCACAACTCATTACCTGCCTGAAGCATTTCTGAAACCATTTTAGGATTATTTAACCAGATAAGGTCTTGCAATAAACAGGTGTGAGAATTACTGTCTTTTTTTAAATCCATCTACTCCACTTCTGAGATCTGCAATGCACCCTAGTACACTAGAAACTCTGAGAAGCCCTACACTAAAGAAGCTGCTTCACTCTTTCCACTCCCCACAAAGAGCTGGCTATAGACCCTTTATTGAAATGTGCCTGAACATCTCACTGAAGAGCTGGGAAAGCTGATAGACTAAAAAGCACCCTGGATATGGCAGGGAGGCCTGGGGGCCCCCGTGGCTCTCACTTACTAGGGAATCTTCAGGCAAGTCGTCTCTCTATTCTAGACACAACTTCTCCAACTGGGAGCTGACTAAATCAGAGGTACCTAGATCTGTGCTCTCTTCAAAGGTAAAACCCTTGGGGGCATGAGGGGAGGTGTAAAGGTGGGAAACCCAGTGAGCAGAATTCACAGCACCACACTCCCCTAAAACAAGTAGATGGCTCCATTTTTGTTTTATTATTTGCACTTCCACGTAAGACTTCATTTAAAGAAAAGCTCTTTCTGCTAAAACGAAAAAAAGTAAGTCAGAAACCACTGAAACCTATGTCCTGTGTGGTCCTTCCAAACTGCGACCGTTGATTTTCTTTAAATCTGCATTGCACATGGGAAAAAGTCCTCTTGAGTCGGGGGGGGGGCCCAAGCCAGGCTCCCTGGGAAAGGCGAGGGTTTGAGGTGAACTTATTCCCGCAGAGGCTCCACGGGATTGGGGGGACGGGGGTGGGGGGGCACAAACTGGGAGGCCTGCCTATGCAGGAAGGCAGGGAGCTAGGGTGACCATTGCTGGGGGAGATGAGAGGGACTGTGCAGCTAGGTGGATGGATAAAAAGGCATCTTGAAAACCAAGGTCAAGAATATCCACGTGGAGGCTGACAGCAAGAAATCGGCTAATGTTTGAAGAGTTATGTGATCAAAAAAAAAGAGAACCACTAGTTAGGTGACCGTGGCAGACGGTTTCTGTGTCTCCACGTGAAGGAAAGACTGGAGGTGAAGAAGTCCTGCAGTCGTCTGTTCTTGTGGTCTGGCTATACAAGGGCAGATGCAAAATTCAAGGTTCAACTTGAATGAGAACTTCAAACTCAACCTCCACCTCAAACCTGGTGTACGAAGACGCTCAGAACAGAATCAGATACTCAGACTCACCAACCAGTCTGAGGACGCTCAGAACAGAATCAGATACTCAGACTCACCAACCAGTCTGAGAACGTGACCCTGTCCCTTTGGTTGAGATGGGATTCCCAAGATTAGTACCCTCGACGGTATCCTGGGCACAACATTGCTCCATTTTTTTTTACCCTGCTGCCTCTCTCGGGATCCCCATGTCCCATGAAGCTTTGTGTGATATGAAAAACCATCCTTGCAACATCCCAAGAGAAATCAAAATGTGGAGTAGAACTCAAGATGCCTGGAAGAGAAGTTTTCCTCCTCTAAGCTTCCTTCAACTGGGAGGGTTCCATCATGTCTCCACAATTAGCTTGTCCCAACCCTCCGTCCTCTTCAGGGTCACCACCTGGCACTCCAATGCAAGCAAACCTTCTTCAGTCAATCACCATGCACCTCCCTAAGATCCTCCAGGGCCTTCCTGGAAGCTGGTGGCTGGCTGTCAAGCAGGTACAGGGCTTCCAAATGGAATTCATTTACCGTCTGCATCCAACTTTCACTTATCTGGAAATCCAAACGACCAGGAAACAACATCACTGGCCAACTTCCAGCCTGGTCTGTGACTCCGATGACAACAAACTCACCTTGCATGGCGATGCTATTCGATTGATAATGGCTGACTAGAAGGCTGTGTTCTGAAAATAATTCTGAACCCGGGTTGGCAGAAAAAGAGTTACCGTGATCAACTTGCAATGTCTGACACGAGCAAGGGAGGAATGCCGGAGTATGTGCCAAGCATTTACCATCTGTCCTGTGCACCATCACTAGCCTTCAGATTGGATTTTTACTCTTTGCTTCATCATATACTGGACACGTGACTTTAGAAAGTCACTAAAGCCACCTGCGTTTTTATCAACAAAACGGGGTAATAAGCCTTGTCTGTCACTGCCCCAGGACTGCTAGAGGGTGCCAATGAGCTCACATACAGGAGATTGTTCTACAAAGTGTCCAGTGCAGGGGATTATTATATGTAAGGGATTACAGTTCTTCTCCACAAGAGTGGCCCTCAGGCACTACATGTTCCTGAAGAGGCTTCCAAATCAACAAAGAATGAGCATGCGTGTGGTGGCTGTGAGTGGTGGCAGCCCTCAGCATGGCTCAGCTCAATTTTAGACTTGGGAACGGTTCCCCCGTCATACAAGATCAAGGGATCCCAGTGTCTTTGGTGTTCTTCCTGATGTTCTTAGCACTGTGCCGTAAGCACACATGGTCCTGAGACCCAAATGCTGTAATACCCCAGGGCTCAGTGATTGAAAAGACAGGGCCAACCCCCTCTCCAGTGGCGGCTGGATGGGAGAGGAGCAACAAGACTGCTGCCAGAAGACCACCCAAGGGGGGGTATGCTGAAGGGCCACGAGAAAGGTCTCCAAACACCCCAAAGCTACAGACACTTGTTCCACTGCATTATTTTCATAGCCATATCAGGTCGCCCTGCAGGCAAACACTATTCTCAGATAGGAGCTGCATGTTCTCACAAGACTAAGTTGCTCAGAGTTAAGATTAGGTTTAGAGCGCATTAACTCCAGCACCGAGGAACACTCCATTGTGG
The DNA here is from genome assembly GCF_000001405.40 of Homo sapiens. Lineage (NCBI taxonomy): Eukaryota > Metazoa > Chordata > Mammalia > Primates > Hominidae > Homo > Homo sapiens. The sequence goes on from NC_000001.11 coordinate 54,371,301, forward strand.
ACTGAGTAGACACTACCATGAGCTCAAGCGCCCAAGTGGAAGAAAGCGTGTGTGGATGCCATGTGTGCATGAACATGTCACACCTTACATGATGACTTGCTTCAGAAGGCTGGCTCTGGGGAAGGCTTGGGCGATTTTAAGCCTTGTTTGCCAACACATAGGGAGTGCCTGCTGGGGCCTTCCTCTACTGTGACACGGGCACAGGAATGGGAGAGAGACACACCCAGTTTGGTGTTTCAGTGTGTCTGCAATGATGGTGCCTCTGGATGCACTCTCCACCCCCAAGCTACCGCCTCTTCTAAAGTGAGGCTAAAATCACCCATAGGACTGATGAGAGGACCATCAGTTAACAATCATCAATATCGAGAGAGAAGACACAATAATAAAAATGACAACTGCGTACAGGGACTGTGCATGTGCCGGTGCTGCACTGGGCACCGTGCCCACGTTTTATCTAATCCTGCCAAAGCTGACAGGCTCCTGGCCTCAAAAACGAAGACAGTCGGGCAGGGGTGGGGGAGTGGCTACCTTAAGATTAAACACCTTTCTACCCTGCAACCACCACCTGGTACAGGAACCGAGGGAAGGGCCTCCCACAACATGAGGCACTCTCTGAGCACATCTCATACAGCCAACTCCACCCGAGAACCTCATCCTTTCACGGACATGGGTTATACTCACTTTACAGATAAGGAAACTGAGTTGGAAGGGACTCACCAACTCTCCCAAACCACTAGTTAATGAGTATCTCCAACAACCAGACCTGGGTTCCTGTCAGGCAAGGCAGGCTAGGCATGTGCCTGGTCTCCCGAGCCTGACTCTAAAGGTTTCCAGACTGAGTCCCACATGCCGTGTAAGCCCTGACAAATTACTTCCCTTCTCTGTGGCTCAGTTCTCCAACTGCAAAATGGGGTAATACCTGCCTTGCAGGGTTGGTCTGGAGGATTAAACTACCTCATGTTGAAAGCACTGAGAACAGGGGCTGGCACAGACTGAGAGCCCAATAAATGTCAGGCACTATCAGTGTTCACTGGCCATAATCCTCCAAGACAAAGATCTGCACCTGCCTGGAATGCCCCTTCCCCTCCACTTTCTTTCTCACTCCTTGAGGCCCAGCAGCAACACCCCCTCCAGGAAGCCTTCCCAGCCCCTAAAGCAGCCAGCGACTCCCCTCTCTGGGCTCCCTTCAAACTCTGCCTGTGTTCCCCATGAGCACTGACCACCACCTACCTTGTCAATTAGTCTGTCTGCCGTTCCAGACAACAATCAACACAATCCTGGCTCAAGTCTGCATCCCCCTAGTGCCATACCTGTGGCAGGATCTAGGCTACACTCAATAAATGGTGACCACGTGACTGGAAACCCACCCACTGCAGGTTTCCGACGCTCTTCCACCCACAATCCTTTCCTGAGGGCTCAGGAGCATCAGGCATGGGGCTGAGCACTGCACACCTGTATTGCTAGTGTATACCTGTACCCTGTCCCCTCTTTTATGAATGGATAAACTGAGGCCCCAGGGGCCAGGCAATTAACCCAGGGCCACACAGCTGGAGAACGGTAGGGCCAGGACAAGGGCAAAGCCTCCCTGACTCCAGCAGACCCTATGCCTAGTCCTCCTCTTTTTCTACAATCTTCTTCCTTTTCTATTCTTTTGTTGGGAGGCAGGGGGAGATGTTTTTGTAAAAAATGCAATGTCTTTATATAATTTCCCCATGGCTGGGAATGATGAAGAGCAAACCAACGGGCTGTGCACGCGTGACTCTGTGTGCCTGGGCCCTCTTCCTGGTGTCACCCGCATAACCTCCTGGCACAGACACTCAGCTGCCACCTGACAGCATTGCTTCACCTTCTTCCCTCTTCCCCTCCAGGGCCCCCAGAACCAACAGGGGAAGTTGGTTGCTAATGGCAACAGTCTTGGGAGCAAGGTGAGACCTACCAGCCCACCACTGACGGCTGAAGGGAAATTTTCAACAGCCTCTGGGGCCCCTTTCTGTCAATCAAGCGGCCTCTTCCCTGTCTGGGACTCGGTTTCCTCTTCTATAAAAAGCGAGTGCCACCCTTCATGATTCTAGTTACAGAGTTGAGAAGGGTTACACGAATCCAGCCAATCTGGGCCTCTGGGGCTGCCCTGGATGGATTTAGAAGGGTCAGCAAAGAGTTGTTTTGAAAAAAACAGCAACAGGCTGGGCGCAGTGGCTCACATCTGTAACCCCAACATTTTGGGAAGCTGAGGCGGGTGGATTGCTTGAGACCAGGAGTTCAAGACCAGACTAGACAACATGGTGAAACCCCATCTCTATAAAAAAAAATACAAAAATTAGCCATATGTGGCGGCGCATGCCTGTAGTCCCAGCTACTTGGGAGGCTGATGGGGGAGGATTGCTTGAGCCCGGGAGGTGGAAGCTGCAGGGAGCCGAGATTGCACCACTGCACTCCAGCCTGGGTGACAGAGTAAGACCCTGTTTCAAGAAAAAAAAAAAAAAAAACAGGAATGCCTCTCGGCACACCAGCTCAGAATTGCCCCCAACTCCCTACTCACACCCAGGGGCTGCTTGAGGAAAGTGTCTGAGCTGAGTGCCCTGGGCTGACCGTGGGAGACATGAGTTGTTTCCCATGGTGTGCACGTCTGGACCACCAGAGCTGCGGTCAGTGTGAAGTTCATCCCGTTATCCCCACTAGACTCTTTCCTGCTGGACAGGAAAGGCAGGTTATTACAGAGGCTTCTCCAGAGCCGTGCACAAGGACATCATGGGAAGAGGTGACTAAAGGGCTCAAAGAGCCCAATGGGCACTGGCTGGAAGCCTGTCTTTGAGAATGGCAAAGTAGCCCAGGGCAGCTTTCTTAGGAGAAGTTAGGGCTTACACTGAGCCTTGGAAGGCAGGCTGGGCAGGTAAGACGCAGGTGCGCGGGAATGTGTGCGGAGGCAGGTGGCCGGCAGCCCACGGCGTGTTGGGGATCCAGAGACTGGGTAGCCAGGAGGCCTGCAGCCTGCAGCCCTGGTTCCTGCCGCTACTCACAAGGAGCACAGGCTCCGGGAAGACGACTCTGAGCAAACATCCCAGGTCATCCCACACCACCTTTGTCATTAATCTCTTCAGTAAGCCCCAAAAGGGCATCACACTTTCTTGAGGCCCTGCTGGCCCTGCTCCTTCCCATCTAAAAGTTCTTGACCTGTCCAAGCCTTTCCAGGAGAACTGACACCAAACACCTCACATTCTCCAGGATGAAATTTGTTCACAAACCACCCTCAACTATCCTATAATGGATGCTTACATTATCCCCATTTCACAGAAGCCAAGGTGAAGAAGCAAGTCAATCAGTGAAGCCTGTTCAGGTGGAACAAGCTGTCCCCATCCCTTTCTCCCTCCATCCCCCACCCCACCTGGCAGGGGACAGAATGCAAAGCAAATCCATGCTAACCACACACAACCCTGACCCCAAGAACCCAGACAGAGTGTAAAATGCAGACCCCACCTAATCCAACGTGAGATATCAGGGCTATCAACGTGAGCTAACTGACTTCCAGAGCATGAACTTGCTTAAAAACATTCTTTAGTTTTCATTTCATGAAAAGGTCATACAGCCGAAGCACAAGCACCACTCAGGTGGGCAGGAGGCCAGGGGCCAGAGAGGGGGAGGGGACGAGAGCATCCCGTGGGAAGATGCACAACACCCCACCCCGTCACTGTGGGAGTCTTGGCTCCCAATCTGTAACCTTATCCTGGGGCAAGCCAAAAAAGGCAGTAGAGGAGGCTGGGCCAGGATATGCCCCTGGCCCTGCACATGCTACCCGTCTTCTCCACTAGCTGTCCACAGGGCCTGCTTCTGTCTCTGTGTCCCCAGGTGTTGGGCAGGACCCCGTGGTCAGAGCCTGGAGGGCTCCGCAGCACAACAGCCATCATCAGACAGCCTGACAGTGCTGAAAAGTCACCACCATGGGACTGACAGGGAAACTAAGGATCAGATAGAAAAGCCCACACGTGGATGACAAACCACCTAGGGGAATTTATTCATTCCTACTTGGGGGGGATCACACTGCATGCATGCATGCATGCATGCATTCAATTTATTTATTTAGCAAAGATGTGTGGTGGACCAGCCAGACTGGGGTCTGCCAGAGGACTCTGCTCTGAGCTCTTTCCCACAGGCCAGTCCACAGGCACCTCCACCTCATCCACATTCTGAGGCCTGCTTGAAGCTGCTACAGTATACTCCTGCTGCCAGCCACTTTCACACCAGCAGCTGACTGTGACTCCAGTGCTTCTTCAAGAGTGTCAAGTTGTGGGCCCAGGAGACAGGATCCAGAAAAACCATTCATGAGAGGCGCCCCCAGCCAGTCCCCCTCCAGAAGCCTCCAGTCGCCTGGTGGAAAGGATGGTGAGGGGCGAGCACCTCAGAGTTCACATAGAAGCCATCTATGTAAAGTAACAGCCTTTAAAGGGTGACCCACAGCCAGAGCCTTCCTCTGGACTGGACTTTATCTTGACGCTACAGGCGGCTGCGGTGGCCCTGCCTGCCACAGGGCCCTGGCGGTGGCAAACCCTGCCTGCAGGGAAGCAAAGGCAAGGCCAGCCCAGTGCCATCCGCTGCCCAGGGGGGCCACAAGGTGGTGCTGACCAGGCTCTGGGAGGAAAGGGAGGGGAAGGAGGAGAGCAGGGAAGAGGAAGGAGAGGGATAAGTAGGAGAGGTAGAGGGATACAGGGCAGGGAGGGAGGGGGAGGAAAGAGCCTTTGTGCTGGCTTCCCCCACTCCACAGTACCCAGGAGCAACAATCAGTTATGCAAACAGGGACCCCTCCCCCAAGCCCAGCCATCCACTCCTGGACCCCCTCCTCCTCCCTTAGTCTCTGGTCTCCCCTCCACCCTGTTCACTCGTGTGCGTGCATGCGTGGGTGTGTGTGTGTGTGTGTTTGTCTCACACACCTCTAAGAGGTATAGTGGCCCTGAGGCCTTGCCCATTCAGGAAAAAACCTGCCCCCACCCTACCCCTTTCCTCAAGTTCTTTAGTCCACACAATTCCACTTTTAGGCATGTTACCACTGCCAACACTGCCAGCCTCTAAACCCACTACCCATTTCTTGCTTTGGCCACCAGCAATGGTGAGTCAAGGAATGGTGCTCCCAACCTGAAGACGCAGCCCTTACAGCTCCACCAAGTAACAAGACACGCTGCCTGCTCTGACTTCATTTTGCTAATTCTCTCAATGAAATGCAATAATGTGAAGGAAAAACTCGTCTTTGGGGCAGGGCCTTCAACATATGGTCAGCCTGGACTCCTTCAAACCACACAGATTAAAATCTCAGCCAGGTGACAACTTCTAGGAGGGGGGCTTTCACCCTCCTTTTCTTCTTCATGAGATAGACTTTTGATTGTTTCAGTTTCAAATTACATCAAACATCTAAATTGGGAATCCCAGCTCCTCCACCACCAGCGCATCAAAGGTAGATATTCAAAGCAGTACTTATTTACAAACGGCGATGCAAATCTGTCCCGACAACCTGGGCACCCTTGACAGACACTTCTGCCACTGCCCATCCCAGGAGTTTCTGTCCCAACTGAGGCCTAGGGGTGTGGCTACCATCTGTCACCCTGTGACCAAGTCATGACCATGACAATGATGACTCACACACAAAGAGCCTGGCCCCTCTGTTACAAGTCCAGGTAAGTTTTTACCAGCTTTGAAATAAAAAGCATTAAATGACAAAGCTTTTCTACAGAATGAGAGAGAGGTAAGGCCCTCTCTCACCTCCAGGACACACAGTCCTCAGTCAAGGGCATTTAAAACATTCCACTCCGGAAATGCCAGAGGGCTGGCAAAGACACTACGGTTAAAGGCAAGCAATCAATAAATGGGGTGAGGGTGCCACAGGCCTCATCGCCATTACTGAAAGCATACCCCTTTCCCCTGGAATGGTTTCCCCACTCCAAAACCCAAAACTGAAACCCACGGTGCTCCTCCCTTTCCCCACAAGGTCTGCCTCCAGGCCCTGCCTGATAAGCCCTCAAGGTTACTCCGTAAACCCGAAGGGCAGGAGTGCTCCAACAGCCCAACCTCAGTGTGCTGAGTGCTGAGTGTATACAGGCCACTGGGCACACACACTGAATCCTGAGAAGTGAGCTCTAGGCATTGTTGTCTGCTTCTTCTAGATGAGGATACTGAGGTTGCAGAAAAGAGCAGGGTCACACAGGTGGCTTGAGGTAGGACGCCAGCAGCCAGGCTCTTAACACTCAGGAAGGGTGGTGCCTCCCTACCCATCCCCCCAGCATCATAGCAGGGATCTCAGATCTGCTGGAGCATTTCCAGCGACAGACACCTATAAGACACATTTTTACAAAGCCACTGTTTAAATGTTCTAATGGATTCCTGTGGCTTGGGACAAAATTCCCAGAGGAAGCATCATACACAAAGCTGAAAAATAATATATGTCAAACAACTTGGAGTGTTGGTGATACGTCCTAGAAAGGTGGGTTAGAAGATAAAAACTGGCTTTGATGACAGCATTTAAGACACTGATAACAAAAACGCATATGAAGACCTAGAATAAAATATATCATGTAAATTTAGGGTGGAACATAGTATCTCTAAATTTACATGTTATCTGCTATATTATTTTAAACATGTATGGGTAAATAAATTAGATATTTTAAGTAAGGAAAAATACTTCCAGCAATAATGAAGCCGTGCCGATTCACCACAATTCTGCTCGGCCTCAACACAGCACAAATCCACACCAAGTCTACGGAACCTCTACAGGCCCCGGTCCCCTGCACTCTCCTGACGTGCAGGCCACACAACCCCAAAAAGCAGATGCCCTCGGACCTCTGGCCATCAGCTTAGAAACAAGGTGCCAGAGTTCCCATTTTTATAACAAATGAACTGAATCCAGCCCAACTTTCCCATATTCTCATCAACTTTCTTTCATGGATAGATTTTCCCCAACTTACAGTTTTTCCTTCTGATTTTTGTTTAACCCCCTAGTTATCGCTAATCCTTGCTTAAAGAGGATTAAGACAATCATGTAACAAATATGGGTGCTTCGCTACCCAGAGGTGTGGGTGGGGCTCTGTTACAGTTTGCGCGTCCATATTTCTGGGCCACTGCACAAAGAACTCCAAACCACTCAGAGCAGGACAAAGAGGGGCTGTGGTGGAGAACCCAGGGCCCTTTACCAGGGAAAGGGGTGTAAGGCCAGGTCTCCTGGCCTCAGCCACAGCCCCCAATCCCTCTGGCTGGGGCAGCAACACCCCCTCCAAAGCTGCTCCCTCGGAAGGGACTGCCAACAGTCAACGCCAAACTTCAAAATTAACTGCCACCATTGGGGGCTGGGACGGCGGTTTGGTTCCTTTTAGTCCAAGGCGCTGACAGCCAGGCCTGCCCCTACTAGCTCCTTCTGTTGTTTCGAGGGGAGTGAGGCCCGGGGCTGAGTTAAGTTTCACTGGTGAGTGGCCGGCGGGCACAAAGGAAGGAACCGCTGGGGGAGGGGAGGCCGCAGAGCTGGAGGGCTGGGACAAAGGGGACAAGAGACAAAGGGACAGGAAAAGAGAGCCCGCTTTATCCTCCTCCGAGGAAGGAACTCCCCATTTAGTCAAATATTTCACTCACACAGCTCTGGGCAAGAAATGCCCCACCGAACATTTTCCGAGGTGGCTTCAGGTGTCTCCCACACCCTCCCCACCCAGGCCAGACACAAGACGCTGGCTCTCCTGGCCCCGCCACCGCCTGGCCAGGTCCCCGCCCCAACCCACTTGTTCATAGTCAGCCAGGTTGCTTTTGATGGCTTCCTCCCTCCAGCCCCGATCTGCCACCCTGAAGAGAGACAAAGAATTATTTATTTGGAGAAAAGAAAAACCCTCAAAGTGTCAGCCAGTAACAGACATGACACTTGCTACGCAGGAGCGACATGCGGGTTTTCTAGTCTGCAGGAGGGCCTTCGCCAGCAGCACACCTCGGCCACCCTGGGTGCCCTCAGATGCTGTGAAGCCCTACCTGTGTGGCCTTTTTCTGTTTTCTCTTTCCTTAAAACCACTGCATACCACACCTGGAGGTTGTGAGAATTAACCTGTAATGAAGGTGAGTGGCCAGCACCAGGACGGGGACGTCTGCAATAAACATGGCAAAATCTGAAAAGCAGGTGAGGTCGACCAGGCTCCCAGGCTCCCAGGCTGAGACAACAGAACCCTCAGGGCTGTCTTCACTGAGACGCTTGATTTGTTTTGTTTTGATTTTGGTTGGAATTTGATTTGAGGGAGACATGATCCCACCACATTTTACATGAACAAAGCAAATCTGACATCCACGCCCAGGACCAAGCCAAGAAAGAGGCGGTACAATGGTGCGGCCAGGAGGCTGGCTGGCTGTCACCATCGGCAGGGACAGTAGGAGAAAGCCAAGAGCCACAGTGACCCTTCCACAGACCACAGTCCTCCCTACTGCCACCCACTCCTTGCCCGAGCCAAAGTCCTGCTTTCTCTGGACATCACTCCATTCGCCCAAATACCTAGGCCCCTACCATGTGCCAGGCAAAGCACAAGGCGGTATCGTCCCTGCCCTTCCTGCAAGAACACGGCGCATCAAGTCCTTCCCACCCGCCGTTCTAAAACACGAGGCTTTCACTCTGTGCCTCACACTGGGAGCGCACTCATTTTTTGGGGCTGGGAAAGGGGCACTCCTGGTCTCACAGTGGGGACAATGGGGCTGGAGGAGGGCCTCTGTTAGCGGAAAGAGCCTGTACACCCAGGGGTGAGAGGGCTCTCTGGTCAGAGAGGAAAATGGAATGTGGCCAATCTCGCCAGGGAAAGGCTGCTCCAGGCTCCTCCCTCTCCTAGGGTCTGGGCTGGGCGCCCAAGTTGGTGGCGGCCTCGGCTCCCACACCAGGTCATGGGCAGACCCTCCCCGCAGAGCAGCGGACGCCACTGTTCCAGGGGGATTGACTCGCTCTGTGGTCTGGACAGGCTAAGTCACACACCCCCTCCTTTTTCCTTCCCCTCCCCATGGTTCCTCCTCACCCCCATGCCCAAATGCTTGAGTCTTGATTACACCCTGGACAGTACCCCAGCACCTGACCTGCCAAATAATTAGACCCAGAAGCAGGCCACAATCGGCTTTGGATCAGAACCAGTGTCTCTGCTGCGTGCAGTGACAGCTTCTGTCCTCGTGGAAAGAACGCCGTGCCGACACATGCTCCGAGTTAAAAACATTTTCAAAAAGAAAACGGGAGGGGGAAAGAAGCCATCTGTATCTCAAGTCTGCAAGACAGCTCTGGCCAGGGCCAGCTTCGGCTTCCTGAGAAGCTACGGCCCATCGTGGTCCCAGCCCAGGACCCCGGCTCTCACCTACGGAGGGGTATTCCAGACAAACTCGCTGACTCACCGGAAAAGGTGGCATTGTGGCTGACACCTGTGCCTCAGAGGTGACCACAGCCTGGTTGTAATGCCCCACCCCCAACCATGGGGTTGGGGGTGTTGGTAAAGCCTAGAAGAATTAAGTCAAGTCTGACAGAGTGTGGGCACCTGAAAGCTTCCTTAAAGCCAGTATATTAGGCAGGGCATGATGGCTCACACCTGTAATCCTAGCACTTTGGGAGGCTGAAGCGGGACAACTGCTTAAGGCCGGAAGTTTGAGACCAGCCGGGAAAAACACAGCAAGACCCCCTCTACAAAAAAAAAAAATCTGACAATTAGCTGGGCATGGTGGTACAAGCCTGTAATTCCAGCTACTCAGAGGCTGAAGCAGGAGGAGTTTGAGGCTGCACTCCAGCCTGGGTGACAAGGTAAGACCCCAATACTTTTAAAAAAGAGAGAGAGGCTGGAAGTGGTGACTCACGCCTGTAATCCCAGCACTCTGGGAGGCCGAGGCTGGTGGATCATGAGGTCAGGTGAGGAAGACCATCCTGGCCAACATGGTGAAATTCCGTCTCTACTAAAAATACAAAAATTAGCCGGGCGTGGTGGCGTGCGCCTGCAGTCCCAGCTACTCAGGAGGCTGAGGCAAGACAATCACTTAAACTCGGGAGGCAGAGGTTGCAGTGAGCTGATATCGTGACACTGTACTCCAGCCTGGGCGACAGAGTGATACACCATCTCAAAAAAAAAAAAAAAAAAAAAAAAAGAGAGAGAGAGCATGTCAGTAGAGTCTTCATTCTTTTAGTTTATGTCCTTGTAGATTTGTGTTTCCAATAACCAATTTTTAACACATTTTTGCTAGAATAACAGCCTTATAAGGACATTTTTGTTTCAGCTACATCTCCAGTTTGTGCTCTCACCAAGGTGATCACCACTTTCTCCAAACTCTCACCCCCACCTCGGTGGGGCACCTTGCCGAGGCCCTCAAATGACTTGGCTCAACCAAGTCCACACCCACCCACGCTGGGACCACAAAGGTATCATTTACCACCACTTTACAGAGGAGGAAGCAAAACTCAGGTGAGTCCAAGCAACAAGTCCAAAAATGACAGAGCTGGCCAGCGCAGTGAGACAGGGTGCTGGGGCAAGCCCAGGGAAGGGTGACCCCACAATCCCCTGAGGGGATGCTGGGAAGCATTCCTGTGCCTTCCTAGGGGACAAGTCAGCTGGAACCAACAGGATATATCTTATATTTTAAGATGTGCAGTTAGGCTGGGCATGGTGGCTCATGCCTGCAATCCAAGCACTTTGGGAGGCCGAGGTGGGTGGATCATCTGAAGTCAGGAGTTCGAGATCAGCCTGGCCAACATGGTGAAACCCCATCGCTACTAAAAATACAAAAATTAGCTGAGCATGGTGGCAGGCACCTGTAATCCCAGCTTCTCTGGAGGCTTAGGAAGGAAAATTGCTTGAACCCAGGAGGCAGAGGCTGCAGTGAGCCGAGACTGTGCCACTGCACTCCAGCCTGGGCAATAGAGCGAGACTCTGTCTCAAAAAATAAATAAGTAAAAAATACAGATGTGCAGTAAGCATTTTATTTTTATTTCTTATTTTTTACAGACAGGGTCTCACTATGTTGCCCAGGCTGGTCTTGAACTCCTAGGCTCAAGCGATCCTCCCACCTTGGCCTCCCAAAGTGCTAGAATTACAGATGTTACCCACTGCACCCAGCCAGTTAGCATTTTGAAAACACATAACCCCAGATAAAGGGGAGGAAAATAGTCTATGAGGTCTGTGAGGGCAAAAGATTTGCTGGTGTCTTTGCTTCCGTAGCCAAACGGCAGAGGCATCAAATATTTGATGAATGGAAGACTAGACAGATTAGATGAATATCTGATAAAGACAAATATCTTTGATGACCTATGGGTGGATTTTTGGATAAAATATCTTCCTAAACTGATACTATTAGGACAATTTTAGCAGAAAGTAGTTGTTTAAAGGCAGTAAGCATTTCAGGCCCTTGGAAAAGCCTGGATGGCAGGCTTAGAAATAAAGAAGTCCCAGCCAGGCACAGTGGCTCATGCCTATAATCCCAGCACTTTAGGAGACTGAGGCAGGTGGATCACCTGAAGTCGGGAGTTCGAGACCAGCCTGACCAACTTGGAGAAACCCCTTATCTACTAAAAATACAAAATTAGCTGGGCATGGTGGCGCCTGCCTGCAATCCCAGCTACCCAGGAGGCTAAGGCAGGAGAATCACTTGAACCCAGGAGGCGGAGGCTGCGGTGAGCCGAGATCGTGCCATTGCACTCCAGCCTGGGCAACAAGAGCGAAACTCCATGACAAAAAAAAAAAAAAAAGAAGAGAGAGAGAGAAAGAAAGAAAGAAAAGAAAGAAAGAAAGAGAAGGAAGGAAGGAAAGAAAGAAAAGAAAGAAAAGAAAGAAGCCCCAGCTGGGCACAGTGGCTCATGCCTGTAATCCCAGCACTTTGGGAGGCCGAGGTGGGCGGATTGTCTGAGCTCAGGAGTTTGAGACCGGCCTGGGCAACACAGTAAAACCCCATCTCTATTAGAATACAAAAAAAAAATTAGCCGGGCGTGGTGGCGTGAGCCTGTAGTCCCAGCTACTCGGGAGGCTGAGGCAGGAGAATTTCTTGAACCCGGCAGGCGGAGGTTGTAGTGAGCCAAGATCGCACCACTGCACTCCAGCCTGGGTGACAGAGCGAGACTCCGTCTCTAAAAGGAAAAAAAAAAAGAAAGAAAAAAGAAATAAAGAAGTCCCTGTACTACAGTGTGGCTAGACCCTCCCTGAAGAACAGATAAGAGCCATTCACAATTAGAAGCAACCCTGCACACAGAGACCACAGCTCCAAGCCCTAAGCCACCCACACTGGAATCTTGTTTATCCTTGGCTAAGCAAACACAAGTCTTCTTAGATAATGCAAAGGTCAACTGTAGACTTGTATGACCTGATAAAATCGCCACCAACCCTGAATTACAGGGTGTTCAATAATAAAATATTTCTACAGAGCTATGAGGGAGAGAGAGAAATCAGAAGTGGGCTATTTTCCATCATCCTCCATTAACACCCCACTAAGACACAGGCTGAGTGATGGAGTTCTGGATTCCAGGATCACATCCCTGTCCACCCACTCCCCAGCCCCCTTTATAAAAAGCAAGAACCGGCCGGGCACGGTGGCTCACGCCTGTAATCCCAGCACTTTGGGAGGCCGAGGCGGGCGGATCACGAGGTCAGGAGATCGAGACCATCCCAGCTAACACAGCAAAACCCCATCTCTACTAAAAGTACAAAAAATTAGCCGGGCATGGTGGCAGGCGCCTGTAGTCCCAGCTACTTGGGAGGCTGAGGCAGGAGAATGGCATGAACCCAGGAGGCGGAGCTTGCAGTGAGCAGAGATCGTGCCACTGCACTCCAGCCTGGGCAACAGTGCAAGACTCCATCTCAAAAAAAAAAAAAAAAAAAAGCAAGAACTGGGCAGGAGAACAGTCACGGGGCTTCTAGCCCGAGAGGCCTCAGAAGTTGTCAAAAGGCTGGGTTAACTGAACAGAGAGCATTTTCCCACACACCTCTGAGGACACTTCACATCTGAAGCTCCATCGATGTGTCAAAGACCTACTTCAGAAAAGAAAGGCAAACACCAAGGCCAGGGCTCGAACTGAGCAGACGAACTTGGACTTGTTCTAAGGGCGTTAAGACTTCAGGGAACCATTCAAATGCACAGACTGCACAGAGGGGCCCTGGGAGGTGGGCAGCCTCCTGATCCTCCCTGATCACTCTTTCAGCCAACAAATGTTGAGTGGGGATCCACCAAGCGTCAGGGCCTCAGTTTACAAGACCCACCATGGGCTCTGCCCCCAGAGGCTCAAAGATTATTAGAAGCATCTTAGAATTATGTGATGTCTAAACTGAGACATGAAAAATAAACAGGGTTCCCTGAGAGGAGAAAGAATGGCAGCAAGTGCTCCAAGCTGGGAGAACAGCCTGTGCAAAGGCCCCAAGGCAGAGAGCTGGCCCTTCTCTAACTACAGCCCAGGAATCTCAGGCTTCACATTCCACCCTAACAGAAAAATACACAGATGTCTTTTTAATGTTAGGTCCCCAAATAATTTTTATTTCAAAACACAGAAATATTCCGTTAAGTCCCTCTAAATTTTTTTTTTCCAACATACAAGGCCCATCACCTTCTCACCTCTCCCCATTGACCACCTTTCCATTTCTGCAGCAGTTTTCCAAGAGCAGTAGCTTCTAATTCCTGAACAGCTCACATGGGCCTCCAGTTGTCGACACACCCTGTCTCCTCTCTGGCTAATGGTGGCCCCAGCTGCCTGTCCACGTCTCCAGAGTAGGCCTGGGCAGGGACAGGGAAGGACATACTTCCTAACCAAAAGAAAAGAGCAAACCGCAGGCCAGGAAGGAAGTAGGAAGTCATCCTGAGCGCAGATCCCTAGATGAGGCCTGAGCACAGCCCCTGATGGCAGGCAGTGGGCAGTCCCTCCCCAGATGGACTAGGGAAGCTGGCACTTAGGAAGAGAAAGATCGTTTGGGGACAGGGAGCAGGATGAAACACATCCCTGGCCCTTCTCAAGGACATGGCTTGTGCTGGGGACATATAAACACTCCTAACCTAAAAGCATTTGGCTCCCTTAGCTGTCTTTGTCCTCACCCCTGCTCCCCACCAAAAACAGACTTCAGGAAGAAAATGAATCAAGTTTTACAAGCTTCCCTATTTACCCAGGGCTACAAATCTATCAGTGGGGAAGCTTTTAAAATGTTCTCTCTCCTAGCACTGTCCCTTCCCTTCTATCTACCACTGCCCCCAACCCCAAACACACACACACACAACCTCTTATGGGTTTCTTTAACCTTGGCTATGGATCCTGAGTCTGAAGGAGGAATTCCAAATTCAGAACATACCCCAGTCCACCATTCATAAATACTTCCTGCTTTTCATTCCACTCCTCTTACTTATTCGTGCTTCTAAACGTGCCCCAGAATCACTCCCTAAGCACAGATACCTTCCTTTCAGCCTCTCATTCTTTCATTCCTGAAATATCTTCTAACATGCTCTGCTTCATTATCTCAAAGCAGTACTGCAGGCTGAGTACAATCCCCATTTTACAGATAAGGACACTGAGGCTCAGAGGTTAATCAACTGGCACAGGTTACACTGTGGATGGGGGCGCTCTTGTGGGGATTAGAACCCAGGCTGCTTAACCTTCAAAAGCTCTCGTTCTCTGCACCTTGGTTCCCCAGTACCCCATATTCATCAGACACAAAAAGTAAAGTCGCTTCCTTTTTCAAAGAAAAATGACCCATTCTGGATCACCCACAGCTTTAAATATTGCATGTTGAAAGCTAAAGGCCATTTTAACTGATGCTTCAAAAAGTATCATGGAAGACTCAGCCCACAAGAAAACCATCCAGAAAGTAGAGACTGTGTTAACATGCAGTGTGGGGTTCAGTGCAGTTCTAGAGGCACAGATGTTTAGGGTGGCTCTCCCTCAAGACAGGGATGCTGCTGTCCAGTGGGCAGTCAGGGGCCTAGGGTTACAGCTTCAACCCCTCGCTCCCCACAGAAGGAGGGGTTTCCTTTGTGCAAGGAAAAGCAAGGGCTGGGTGGCCTTCCTGCAGTGGCCCATGAGCCTATTCTTAGGATTGACATCCTTCAGATACATTTTATCCTTCAGATAAAATGCCCCACGGGCACAGCACCTTATGGAGCGGTCCACATCATCAACTCCCAGGAGCTGGGGAGGATGGGGAGATGGGATGGTCCCTCTGGCCAATGAGGGGATCCACACTGTACTGGGGCCCTTGGCTGGAAGCAGCTCAGGTGTTCTCACCCCCAGTTCCAAGGTTGCTCATATCCCGTATTCCAGTGTCAGCAGGGGAAGCAACGACACAGCATCCGCCAGAAAAACAAAGTGGGAAGAAGGATTTGCCCCATCTTCAAACCCATCTACCCTAATTGTGCTAAATTCTCTGGCTAGCTTCAATCCACAATGTATAAACTGATCCTACTTTTTTTTTTTTTTTTTTTTTAAGAGATGGAGTTTCACTATGTTGTCACAGGCATGATCATAGCTCACTGCAGCCTCCAACTCCTGGGCTCAAGCAATCCTCCTGCCTCTACCTCCTGAGTAGCTGGACTATAGGCGCACACCACCTCACCCAGTTGAACTGGCTCTACTTTCCGATCCCATCTTCCTCCCAAGCAAGAGGCCTCTCTCCTGTCATCCCCAGCTACTTACTACTCAACAGGAGTCCCCTCCTTCTTGCCTGTCAGCACCCACCCCGAGTACATTCTCCCCCTGACCCTCCACACCGGGGCACCTCATTCCCTGCTCTCAGCTTTCCTCAGGCAGTCAGCAAAACTTTTATTCCATGAAGTAAGAACATCCGTTCCATCCGTCTGTCTTCCTGGGATGCCAGTGTATGAGAAGACACTTCATACAACACTGGGTATGATTACTCACACGTGCTAGTGTCCCAAAGCGCCCACTGGGCTTCCTTCGCAGGGGATTCCTCCCTGGATCGTTTACTATTGCTTATAGTTTCCAGGGCACTGGCCAGAAAAAAGCCTGAAGTTGAGAGAATCGGGGAGACCCTTAAAAAGAACTCAATGATTCGACTGCTTAAAGCT
Organism: Homo sapiens; assembly: GCF_000001405.40. Taxonomy (NCBI): domain Eukaryota; kingdom Metazoa; phylum Chordata; class Mammalia; order Primates; family Hominidae; genus Homo; species Homo sapiens. Next base: position 54,387,306 of record NC_000001.11, read on the forward strand.
GAAATCCAACCTCTCCTTGACAGCAAAAACGAAGCTGCCAAAAACCAAGCCATGCCTCTTCAAGAAAGGAAGGATTTCCAACTAACCCTTTCAACTAAATCCAACGTGGGCTCTTTGCTGAAATCCCTCCTACTCTACAGAAGGGCCTTCTCGGATTATTTTTCTTCAAAAAAACATCATTTACACATTGAGTGTCTTTACTTTCCAAACCATTCAGAATTAGGGAAAGAGGGGAAAAACACGTCTGTTTCTATTTGAAACTGTCAAAATTAGCATTCAGTAATTAAAAATCACACCCTTTCTCTTAATAACCTAACCAGCATGATACAATCAGGTTGTGCCAACTCTTTAATCTAATTGACTAATTACAGATTTTAATTTAGTCAGTTACCGAACAACTGTTGACAATTTGTTTTCATTAGGGACAGAACAGAATAAATATTTAGGCTTCCAGTCACAAAGACTCCTGCGATCGGCTCTCCACCATGACCCCAACTTCAGAGTGAGCTTCAGCTCTATCAATATCCTCAGACACAGGTACCCTTGCTGCACTCGAGTCGCTTCTTAGCAAGGCCCCGAGCCAGAACAAGCCTTCCCAAAAGTCCCTCTTAAGGCAAAAGCCTTACATACAAGCAACGGCCTCCATTCCCAAAGTACAGGCAATTCCCAAATTCACACACGTCACTCAAGAAGTGGCAAACACTTAAATGTTGTGAAGAAAAATAAATTCAACACTACATGTCACTGGCTTTTAAGCAACAAAATAAGTTAACAGTCAAAATAGGTTTATCTGCATTCATCTCACCGAGAAGCAAACTGTCACTGACATTTTTTTTTAAGACACACGTTTACAGGTTTCTACTGAAATGATCCAATTCTTTCAAAGTGCATTTTTCCCCAAGGTCCCCATCTCCCAAAGTCATCCAAAAGTTTGTCAAAGTAGCAGCATGGCTCAAAGGTAGAGTGGGGCTCTGGGTTCAAATCCCAGCTCTACTATCTAATGACTTCATAACAACGGGCTCATGCCTTCACTTCTCTGAGCCCTGGCTTCCTCATCGGAGAAATGAGGTCATAACAGCCCCTATCTTATAGAGTGTTACCGGGATTAAATGCCATGCCCACACACAGTGCCTGGCCTGGGGTAAATGCAGTAAATGGTGGTCACTGCTGTTTCAGAAACTGCTGTTGTATCCCTCACTGTCCCCATGCTACAAATTAGGAAAGAAAGAAATCATCTGTCAAAGGTTACCAAGCTATTAAGTGGGAAAGCTTGGTGGAGAAGGATGATTTCCGGACTCGCTGTCCAGTGATCCATCTGCTGCAGGTAATGCCAGCTCAGAACCGCAGGGAATATGGGACCCCTGCCTTGGGATATATCTGTAAGGAGAGGAGGCTCTGCAGATGGGAGCTGTTCACACAGGCTCTTACACCCTCAGTGTGTCTACCCTCCAAGCTGCACTGCCCTAACAGAGAAGCCTTGCATGCACAGCCAGGAGAGCAGGGGTGGATGGGCCTAAAGAGAGCTCAGCCATCTCCGGAGAGAACTCTGCATTCTAACCTTCCTCAGTCCTGGGGGAAACACGAGGGATGTCCCTCTACAGAGGTCAACCCTGGCCATGCCAGGACAAAGTGAGAAGGCACCACTGCTAGGTGGGTCCTGCCTAAGGATTCTAACCAGGTTTCTGGAAAACTTCACTGGGGGCTCTTGAGGCATTGCTAATATTGTTTAAGTTCTAGAAGAATCGGGTCTGCCTCAATTGAAATGGAACTGAAATTTCCAATGTTTTTCTGTTGACTAGAATTCTGTTCTACCAACCTGGTGTGCTCACGTTGGTTCCCCTGAGCTGATGAGAAAGTCTCATCAGCAGCTATATAGTTCTCATTTTCCACATTTCTTCATTAAAATTAATGGTGACTCAATGCATGCAATCTCTTTGTAAATAAAATATTTTCAAGCCTGGAGTCCACAGGGGGTGGTAGGAGATTTAATAAAAGGGAGCCTTTTGAGTGAAGAGATAGCAAACCTTTTCTTTAAGTCACATAGGTCCCAAAGCCAAGATGTTTTCTTCCTGGACGAGGTCATTAAAAACCAGCCCAATCCCTCTACCCACAGAGAAGCACCGCACCAGTCAGGAACCCTATGAGCCCAGGCCAGGCTTCAGCTGGCTCATCTCCGTCAGGACCCACCTGGTCCTGCCAGCCTCAGCATCAAACCACTCCAGGCTGGGCAGGGGGTCATCAATTAATGAGACAGAAAAGATGCCAAATCTGGGCCAGGCACAGTGGCTTACACCTGTAATCCCAGCACTTTGGGAGGCCGAGGCAGGAGACTGCTTGAGGCCAGGAGTTTGAGACCAGCCTGGGCAACATGGCAAACCCTGTCTCTACCAAAAAAAAATAAAAAAATAAAAAAACAGAAAAGTTAGCTGGGCATGGTGGCACATGCCTGTAGTCCCAGTTACTTGGGAAGGCTGAGCCAGGAGAATCACCTGAGCCTGGGGAAGCTGAGGCTGCAGTGAGCCGAGATCATGCTACTGCACTCCAGCCTGGGCAACACAGCAAGACCCTGTCTCAAAAAAAAAAATTTTTTTTTTTTAAATTAAGAAGACAAACCTATTAAGTCTACCTTGCCCATGACTGAATCCCTCTAAGTGCCTCATTTCCTTCTCTACAAAATAGGAATAACAGAACTTAACTCACAGGGCTGTTTTGAGTATGACAATAGACAAAACCTAAAGCACTTACAACAGTGCCTGGCATACGGTTAGCACTCAATAATTGTTTGCTATTGTTATCAGTTCTTCCGTCACGAAATGGGAGGAATGCCTGTCCCCTACATTGTCCAACAGGGAGATACCTAAGAATGCCTTTTAAGGGTCTGAACACATAGTAAGTGCTCAATAAGCACTGGTTTGCTTTGTTAAATAGAAAACTCATTATTACTAAGCCATAATGCTGTCGTTTAGAAATTTATCCCTCACCAAGAACTCACCACCCCAACTCCCAATGGTCAACCTCCCATGAAGACTGTCACTCTCTAAAATCCCAGGGACCCGCGGCAAACATCCTGATTTCCTCCTAGTCTCTTCTCTTCCAGCTCTCTCTGAAGAAGACGCTGCCAGCAAAATAACACCAAAGAAAGTATGTGGCGACAGTCAACTAGATTTAAGTTCATTTTCTGTAGCTTGGGGTCAGAATCGACTGAAGCACTCTGATGATCAAGTTTTCTGCAATTCCCTATTCCACGCATTAGCTCGCTGACAGAAATTCACTGCGGTATTTAAAGTGGCAGCCATCACAACTAACTCAAATTGTATTGGCTTCCCCGATGCTGAAATGCTCTGCTGAAACCATCAATTGGCCAATTCGGAGATAACGTGGTGGCTGAAATTCCCTGTCATGCTGTAAAATCCCCTTTTGAAGCGGCTCACCAGCGCGGAGATCGTGGAGAGCCCTGCCCGGAGCTGCGGGCCAGGGCCGCCGCCCGTAACACAAGCGGGCTCCGAGTGGGATCTGGCCGGCAGGCGGGCAGCGCTGCCAAGAGGAAGAGCCTCCAGAGAGAGGAGAACATTTTCTACTGGAAGCCGTCTAAAAGCCGGCGAGCAGAGACCGGCAGTGCGCACACGCCCGGCACCAGGCCTGCCCACTGGGCCATCTGCCCCCTCAGCACCGGCTGGATGGCCAAAGGCCACAGGAAGCTCTCAGCCTCTCCCAAAGAAAGCTGCAAAATTCCTAAAGGATGGCACAGACACAGACACGGGCGCCAGCCTCTTAGGTGGAGGTTTTCTCAAGTCAGTGGTGGCCCCAGGCTTGCTGTGTCACCAGCCTCAGTGTCCCCATCTGGAAACTGAGTGTCTCCTTCTTCTTGCACATCTGAAACAGCCTTCTCAAAGGGGACCACAACTCACAAAGCATTTTCACGTGCTCTCACCCAACTTCCAAAAAGCTGGAGGGGCAGAAAAAAGCCGGCCACTGTTTCCTATCATTTTGCAGACACCAGACAACTTACCCAAGGCCATCTGAAAGAATCAGATCTTGTACCTTGGTCATCCAAGTCCAAATCCCATGTACAGCCCACAACACTGCATCTAATGGCAAAGCCCGGCAGGCAGCGGGCAATAACTGCCCACCAACCATCTGCCATTTCCATCCGGTCTATAAAGCTACGCTCTGCCCCTCTCAGAGCTCAAAGCGCTGCAGCAGTATCCCAGAATGTGGGAGAGGCCTGCTCCCCCCTCTCCACTGCCTCCTCTCTCAAACAGCCTTTTGTGACTGGGAAAGAAGGATCAGAGGAAAACCTCAGGCAGCGGCCCCAGGGAGCAGTTGTGCTTCTTAAGGTCAGAGGACTGTGAAACAGAAGTGAAATGTCAGGCGCTTCACCCAAACACACAAAGAGCAGGGGACACAAAACCTGCCCTGGAAGCTGTGCAAACAGCTGTCACCAGGAGGGGACAGGGAATTTGGGAGGCTGGGTCAACCTCGGTCAGACAGGATGCCTTACGACCTATTCTCACTACTGCCACTGCCTAAGCCCTGTTCAGACGCAAGCTCCACGGGGGGCAAGGAACCCCCTCCACCCACCCACCTCAATCACAGACAGGCAGAAGGAGCTGCCCCACAGCCAGCCAGCAGGGACAGGCTGCAAACTCCTCCAGCTTTGCCTAGAGAGCCACATGGACTCCGCTATTAAGAAGAGTGTCCCTGCGCTCTCAGGCCCTCTCCTCCCGCGCCCACTCCAGAGTGGTCCAGGCCACAGTCCCACCCCCTCCAATGGGAGCTGTTACTTACTCTGCCTTCAACAAGCATCTGTTGGGATTTTCTGTGTGTTCAATGCACTAAGACTATGGCAGCAAACCACAGAGACAACGGTACCAAGTGCCCGCCAGGCACCACTCTGAAAGCACAACATGTGGTGGGGAAACAATTTCCCGAGAACTCTCTAAGGTATGGATCATTTCCTTCTAGTACAGATCTGGAAACTGAGGCTCAGCAATTGCTTGTCTCTTGACCCAAGTCACTTAACTTGTAGGAACTAAGATTCAGTCTCAGCTGTCTCTGGGCTAGTGGCCTTCTGACTTTGCGTTGAGCCCCCAAAAAAGGCAAATACTACAACACAAACCCAGGGCACACATACTTTTATATGCACACATAAATCACTGAAAACAGACATTTCCAGAAACAATATTTGTGTTTACTCTGTGTAATACGGTTGTTTCTTTTTTGGTAATTACCAGTCATGACCCACTAAGTTGGTTTCATGATGTATTAATGGGTCACAGCTCACAGTTTACAAACAGTGCTTCACCACGTGCCCCTTGTCCATCTTCATTAAAACGAGTACTTAGCACAGTTGATGCCTGGGCAGGAATCAAATCCTTCTCACTTCTCAAGGCTCAGAGCCTTGCTCACAGACCCCAGAATGCATTCAAGACCTGCAATAGGCCCCAGGAATGGGGTGGCAGAAAGGGCAAGTAAAGTTCCTCCCCTCAAGGAGCTTTCATTCCAGAAAGGGGAAGGAAGAGACACAACCTTAACTGAAATAACTCTCCTTCCAGGCAGCTGGTAACAAACGACTAGGAGAGTTACAGAGTTAGTTCCTGGGGAAAAAACAGAAGAGGGATGTCTTCCCATAGGAGTCGTCCTGGCAGGCCTGGTGGAGGCAGCCACATTCCAGGCTAGCATTGGCTCTACAGAAGAATAATTGGCAGGGGAGGAAAAAACCCTCTCAGGTGGTATGGTACCAAGCGGGAATCATGGTGAAGAGGCCAAAGTGGCTGGAGAAAGCACCTGTTCCAGATTCCTAGAAAATGAGAAGTCACTAGGAGAGAAGAAAATGGACAGTGATGGGGCAACTTCAGGCCAGGCACAGGCCAGAAGCATCTGTGCGTCCACTGTTTTCTCATCCTCACAAGCACCAGGGCTGGTTTGGAAGCGGCATATGTGACTTGCTCCTCCAATCACTGGGGCAGGGAGAACATAATGTGACTTGCCCCCACAATCCCCCAGGGGTACCTGAAACCCAGGGATCCAGAGAGCTGATCAACAGGGAAGCTAGCCCATGATGGTTCACGCTTCACAGGCACACACCTCTCACCCCAACGTCATTCTGCTGGCCCCTTATTATCAATCACTGAGAACACTGCCCATCAGGAAGCCAGAACTCAGACCAGGCCGGAGGTGAGGTAAGAAAAATGACAGCACAGGCCGGGTGTAGTGGCTCACACCTATAATCCCAGCACTTTGAGAGGCCCTGACAGTAGAATCCTTTGAAGCCAGAAATTCAAGACCAGCCTAGGCAACAAAGCAAGACCACGTCTCTACAAAACATTAAAAATAAAATTAAAAAAGAAAAATGACAGCACACATTTATGCAGAACTTGCACTGTGCTAGGCACTATTATATATTGTGTGTATATGTGTAAACTTAATCTTTATGACCTTATAAAGGCATACTTTATTTTTTTATTTTTTTGAGACTGAGTCTCGCTCTATTGCCTAGGCTGGAGTGCAGTGATGCAACCTTGGCTCACTGCAACCTCCACCTCCCGGGTTCAAACTATTCTCCTGCCTCAGCCTCCAGAGTAGCTGGGACTACAGGCGCCCACCACCACGTCTGGCTAATTTTTCTATTCTTAGTAAAGACAGAGTTTCATCATGTTGGCCAGGCTGGTTTCTAATTCCTGACCTCAAGTGATTCGCCTGCCTCGGCCTCCCAAAGTGTTGGGATTACAGGAGTTAGCCACTGCGCCCGGCCTGGTATACTTTATTAACCCCATTTTCCACCCGAGGAAGTTGAGGCTCAGAGGTTACTTAAGGTGTCCATGTTTGCACAGCTCGTAACTGCAACAAGGCAAAGGAAAGAAAGCATCCTGGACTATTGATTAGGCTTGCAGGCAGGTTTGAGTTCTACTGGAAACTTCACGCAGGGCACCTTTCCCTCTGCGCATGTTTCTTTAGCTACTTGAAAGAACACTAGGTGACCTCCAGTTCCATCACCTGCAATCCTGCTATTTATATCTATGATAAATATATATTTCGTTACAACACAGGGGTGGGACTGTTTACCTCCCCCCACTGCCCCCCCAACTCCATACTGACTGTATCTTGGTCTCTTAGAAAAACAAGATCATTCCACACAATTCTTTTTAAGCCCACATCTCATCCTGGACTGCATCTGTCTCTTCAACTAGACAGTAAGCATAGTAGGAGCTTGGTAACCTCAAAATACGGTAGTGTCTTATTCTCCTGGTCTGGGGGCCGACTGATCAAGGCCTCAGGGTCACCCCAGGAAGTCAAAAGAAAAAGAAGCCAATGTGGCCAGAACCAGCTTCCCATGGACCTGCCATGGCTGACACTTCCCTTCTCAAGCTCACTGTCTCCTTAAGACTCCTTTTTTTTTTTTTTTTTTTTTTTTTGAGACGGAGTCTGGCTCTGTCCCCCATGCTGGAGTGCAATGGCGCCATCTCGGCTCACTGCAACCTCCGCCTCCTGGGTTCACACCATTCTCCTGCCTCAGCCTCCCAAGTAGCTGGGACTACAGGCGCCTGCCACTATGCCCAGCTATTTTTTTTGTATTTTTAATAGAGATGGGGTTTCACCATGTTAGCCAGGATGGTCTCGATCTCCTGAACTCGTGATCCGCCAGCCTCGGCCTCCCAAAGTGCTGGGATTACAGGCGTGAGCCACCGCGCCCGGCTAAGACTCCTTTTTTTTTTTTTATTGTATGTGGGAATCGCCTTTGTGGGATTTCCACATACAATAAAAGGGGATTCCCTTATACAATAAAAAAAAATCAGGCACAGTCTGAGCACCTGCCAGGGCAGGATACATACCAAAGAGAACAGTGCAAGACTCCTCATTTCATCCCTGTTAACAATGACACAGGATTTCACAGCACAACCAACTTTCCCTGGACAGCTTTCCATGCCTCTCTCAAGGCCGTCCCCATGGTGGGCTGTGCCAGGACAACCCTTGAGCCTATTTTACAGTAAAGAGATGGACCTTGAGAAATGAAGGCCCCCCACAGCTAACAAGGACATGAAGCTGAAATGCAAATCTAGATTCCTACTGATGCCAAGCTGCATGCCCTCTGGGCCTTACCATTTAGCCATGCAGTGGCCATATGCAGGAGTGGGACAGGACCATTCTGCCCAATACAGATAAGGTGCACAGACATCTCAGAGACGCCATTTATCAGTACCAGTCTGTGACAGGACTGCCAGCTCTGCCCCTTGAGGGGGTGCAGGGGTGAGACATGACAGCAGGGACGGGCGGTGGGGGGGTTTAGAATCAATCCTCCCTGGATATTGACGGATGACTGTACTATATTACTTAACCCTCACAACCACTATGCAAAGGAATCAGCATTCCCCCATTCTACAGATGGGAAAACTGAGGCTCCCGGCCAGGAAATGAGGATCCCTGACGATTTCCAGCCAAGAAATGACAAAGTGGAGACTAGAATTCACATGGGAGTCCAAGCCACCAGTCACAACCCAAATCCTTTAAAATCCAGAGGATTCAAAACCCAGGGAAAGAAATACACAACACAGACACAAACACTGCTAAAACTCACCTTGCCAAGGCTACAAAAAACCCCGTTACCGGCCAGGCGCGGTGGCTCACGCCTGCAATCCCAGCACTTTGGGAGGCTGAGGCAGTCAGATCACAATGTCAGGAGTTCGAGACCAGCCTGGCCAAGATGGCGAAACCCTGTCTCTACTAAAAATACAAAAAATTAGCTGGGTGTGGTGGCACGCGCCTGTAATCCCAGCTACTCAGGAGGCTGAGGCAGGAGAATCACTTGAACCCGGGAGGCGGAGGCTGCAGTGAGCCAAGATCGCGCCATGGCACTCCAGCCTGGGTGACAGAGTGAGACTCCATCTCAGAAAAAAAAAAAAAAAAAAAAAAAAAACAACCCCATTACCCCAGCGAATCAAAAACAAACAGTCATGATTGTCTATTTGCTCTAAGAGCTCCCAGCAACATGTATTAAAGAAGTTTATGTGAATAGTCTAATGCACTTGTGCCGTGGTCAGAATTATTACCAAGCTAAAAAAGATTAATTTTTCTAAATACTCTAAACCCTCAGACACTATTATAAAGGCTACAGCTAGTGCCACATTTCTGTTATCTTGGCTGACAGATCCCCAAGTACACACACCTCCCTGCCACTTCTCCCTGTTAAGGCTTAAACACACACACACTCACATACAGAGGCAGGGAAGTCATGGGAAGGGGGCCAGGCACCCTTGACTAGGGTTCCCCACTCGAGACCCTGCCTCCCTCACAAAATAGAGACGACCTAAGGAACTGTGGGGAGAGCTGGGTATCTCCCAGCTCCCTCTGAGTGCTGGCTGGCACAGAGCTAACTCTTGGTCCAAGTTTGCAAATGCTTAGCTAACAAAGATGGCATTATGCGAAAGACTGGTGCACACTGCTGCTCTGGGAGTTCAAATGAAGTGACCACTGCCAAAAATTTTGTTTGGGTCCCCACCACTCCCCCCGCCCCACCTCCCGCCTTGAAATAAAGGGCAAGGATTTGCAATTTGGGGTCTTGCCGCCACTTGAAACCCATTAAGGTGGCTGCACTGCTCGGGTGCTGGCAAAATGCAACTCCAGTTTCTCATTTAATGTTTAATTAGCTACCGATGGAGGAGTCTGGCAGCCTCTGGGGTTAAGAGGAATTGCAGAAAACAGGGCGGGAGCTTAAAGAGGGGCTGCAACCCAAAGCCTATGCTCCAAGGGGAATGGGGGAGAGGGGAAAAAGAAGTGTGTATGTTTTGTGTTTTTAATCTGCCACACAAGGGTGCCAAGGGTCAGAGCCAAAGGCAACGCCGTGAACTTGCCAGGACCTCTGGGCAGATAGCTAGCCTGGCTTATCACAGGGCAGCACACTCCCCCAGCTCTTTGCAGCCCAGCTGCAGGCCTTCTCCACCTATTCCAGCCTGCACTGCCACCCTCTTGTCCCCCTCCCCCGAAAGGGTTCTGGCAGGCATGGACACTCCCTGCCTGGCAGGAACCTCAGCTCAGCACATCCAAGGAGAGCCCTCTCAAATATCACTTTGCTATTTCAAACCCACCAAGGACGCTGGACCCCTGCCACACAGCCACAAATACCTCAGTGCCTGCCCACGCCCATGACTCTGGGGCACTTTCCTACTTTAACCAACCCTCCTCAAGGCAAAGTCTCCCCTCTGCTGAGGGAGGAGTCAGCAGTCTTGTTGGGGTGGGAGAGCAGAGTCTTGCTGGAGTGGGAGGACAGGGCCAGGGAGCCAGCCTCACTGAGGTGGAGCACACAACAGCCAAGATGAAAGGGAACTCAGGTCTTCAGAGAAAGGAAACTGAGGCAAGCAAGGAAAATTCATCAAGGTCATGGAACTCCATGTCCATTTCACTCCCCAAGTTCTTCACTGGGAATCAGAGAGGCCTGGGGTTGGAGCAGCTGTCCATGAGCCTCCTGAAACCATGCACAAAGTCCCCTTTATGAGGGCTTTCTGGAAATACTGTCCATAGCTTTTATCACATTTTCCCTGCCAAAAGTTAAGAGCCGTTGCACCACAACAAACCCCCTTCCCAGAGTTCAGGTCTCGCCTCTGCCAGTGACTCCACAATTCACCTTGCGGGGGCTTCCGTTCAATTCTGTTAAGTTCATTTCTTCAGTGAACATGTCGGGGGGCACCAACCAGCATACCCGGTGCCAGGTATGCTTCAGGTCAACTGCAAATACCTCCCCTCTGTTTTGCAGGGATTCTTTATCAAGTAAGTGTCAATAAAAGCTGAGAGGCAGAACTAGAAAGATAGAGGATTTCTAGTCTCAGCTCTGCCAACACCTGGCTGCCTGCCCTTGGACAAGCCACCTAAACTCTAGGGTTCAGTTTCCTCATCTGTAAAATGGGAGTGAGATTTTGTAACAAAACCCAACCGACGAGGCAGCTGCAAAGCCCAGCCACAATCACACACATGAAAACATGTTATAAAAAAGTACAGCAGGTATGTGTAGTGTAAGAATCCATTGCTATTCTCTAGTCTCTTTGGCTCAAAGGCCACTCATTTCTTGGCCTTCCAAATTCCACTCATTTCTTGACATCAAAAGGAAAACACAAAATTAGCTACCACATGGAGAAAAAGGATTGCTTGTTGTTTGAGAAGGCACCAAAGACACTTCCCTGCAGGTCCACCCTGGAGAAAGTCAAAGCGGAGAAGGTGGCCAGGACACCTCTGGGCACACAGTTAGAGACACTCATGCAGCTGAAAGTGTCCACTCTACAAAAGGTCAGGACCCAGACAACAGTGTCTAAGAGAACCCAAAGAGATGCCCCAATGGGATCCCATGGGCTTTTGTCAACACTCTGAGATGCACTGCTCTGGCCTGAGGGTAACAGCAAGGAAATTACAATGGGACCGTGACCCTCCTCCCGTGACCCTCCTCCCATGACCCGGGGGACCTCTTCTGATTTAATGCAAACCAATTTATCAGAAAAGTCCACTCCAGATGTGAGTTCCCCCAATGCTCCCGTTGCCCCTGTAAGCACTTCCTACCCACCGAAGATGGGTCTGGTATCCAGGCTGCACAAACTCCCCACACCCTGAGAATCTTTGGATCTCCTTGATAGAAAACAGAAGGTCAGTCAACAGACACTTATTTACACTCTACTTGATTTTCTAAAAAGTAGTTAAGGCAACTAGTTAATTGACTTCAAAATCACCTTGTTCGAGAGCACCCGCAACAATTATGTCTCTAAAAGAACACCATTCAAGACTCACTCACCCGCAAGTGACTTACTCATTCTTACCTAACTCCTTCATACAATCAGCACGTGTGCCTGCTACATGGAAGGTACTGTGGGAGCTACAGAGATGAATAGTTCACGGTCTCCACCATGGAAAAAATTAATAGGCTGTCGCCCGAAAGACAACCCTAAGTGAGAAGTTAGGTGGAATAGTGCCAACAAATGGTACTTGCCATGGGCCTGCAGGGCCAAGCCAGGTGGTGTTAGAAACACCCATTCCAGAGTCAGTCATGACTCCATGTGTGTGCATTCTAACTACCACTTCCCAGCTGGGAATTAACCACTGTGTGCCTCAGCTGCTTCATCTGCAAAATGGAGTGAACAACAAGCCTTCTCTCATCGGGTCTCTGGCAGGATATGAGGGACTGAACCTACAGCAGTTAGCAGAGTGGCCTGGCACACGGAAAGCTGCCAACAGAGGCTTTGTATAGGTGGTTTTTATAGATATGGAGATGAAGGCGTGATCACAGAATGCAGAAAACTATCTCATAAGTCCTCCAAGAAGGAGGTCTTAAAAGATGAATAGGATTTGAATGGGTAAGAGAGGAATGCATTCCAGGCAAGAGGAAGGAGTCAGCAAGAAGCTACTGCAATCATTCTAGCAAGAAGGAATGAAGGTTAACTAGACTGTAGCCACAAGAAGGGAGAGACTAGATGAAGACTGGAGAAAGACAAAAAGAAAAGTGGGCTCCTTTTCCTAATTTTCTGAAGTTCTTCTTAGTTTTCCACTTGCTTCTCTGCTGTCACCCCTCCAACTCAATGCTACCCCTTAACGCCTTCATAATCCCCATTCATCACTCCATCCCTCCTCCCACAGGCTCTGACTCTCAGGCCACATGATACCAGGTGGAGCCCAATTCAAAAAAAAAGGTTTTTACACCCCACACATATGAAGTGTAGGCCTCAATTAGGGTGACCTCATCTCTTAGTAGCATCTTCTAAATGTCAACGCCAACCTCAGTGATCTCTATACATTTCTACTGCCATTCCTCAGCAAATTACTGAAAGCAAACCCATGTGCAAACTTTCATGGCCGCCATATTGTTTCAGGATGGAAGACGACACCACAAGTTGCCAAAGACTCTCAAATTTGTAGAGCACCGAACTTGGTTAAAATCATTAACTTCTCTGAAAGGTACAGGCAAAAAATAGCATAGATATGCTACATCAAGAGAGTGAAAGACCCACCCACCCATCCCCAGATTCTAAAATGAAACTATTTACATAGCAGTCAAAAACTAGCAACAGTGTTGGCTGTTCACAGGTTTAGGAAAAAAACCATGCAAGATTTTTACTAGGTAGAAAGGTCAAATTCATCAACTATTTTTATATGGCTGTGTACCTCTTAGCCTCCCTGAACATCCAGGTCAGGAAACCTTATCATCACCATGGGATTTTCCCAGAAGAACCACATCATAAGTGAACCGGTGGTGACCTCTCCCTTTCACTACCATGCAAGTTTACCAGACCAGAAGTACCATTCATCAGCTTCTCTTTTTCAGCCCTGAAGAGGGAACAAGAACTGCTCAATTTCCTCAGCGTTACATTCCAAGAGCATTAACTTTTCATTCACAACAAAACTGCATCACATTGAATATTCTCAAAACCAGTAGGCCACCACCTGAGTCTCTAACTCCTCACATTACAGGAGAAATTTTCACCATGAAGACATTGGTGATCATGGGATTTGACCACTTGTGAAATAACCAGATGGGTCTGGTCTCTTAGCCAATTTCCACCTCCACATGCAGGGAACTCAGATGGCTGGGCCAAGCAGGTGGGACCCAATGACGTTCAAGAAACCAACTCCCAAGGACCCATGGTTTCCCAGGATCATTCCTACCCACTGCACACAGAAGAGCAAGACCATTAGATCACCTGCTATATGGACATGCTTAACTGTCTACAGGGCTAGCAAGAAGAACTGAACAGAGGCTATGGAAGACCTTCAGACACGTCCTCTTCCATCTCCCCAAGACAGATCCTAACCCATTTCATCAGATCATCAAGTGTGACTGCAACCCAGGTTTGAAACCCATGTTTGTTTTTCCTGAAGGGGACTGCTATGGGAGATGAATAGATGGCAGACAACCCTCTCGTAATAATTTCATAAATCTTAAGAAACTCATCCAGGTAGAAAGTGAGTAACAGGGTAGAAAGAACTACAATCTGATGTTAACTAGCTTCACAAGAATATTTTGGCCACAAGATTATGAACTAGCTGAGGATCTCAGAGTACAAATCGTCTTAGCAGATACAGTATGAGCCCACCCACACCAAACACACACACACACACACACACACACCCATAATTTGAAAGATCGCTCTCTGGAAAGTAGAGCAAGAGAGTCCATTCCACCAAATTCTCACTCAACTCCAAAACGCAAGTTTCCTATTGGCTTTTGTTTGTTACAATTTCTTCTTAAACCAACACTAAAGAGGCTTAGTCCCCTCTCAGCTAACTGTCCACTCTTAACATAAGTCTCACAGTTCTGAGTCCTGTACAACACCATTTAATTCTCCGGATAGATATCTACACAATTTTGCACAATTACAACATTATGAAACACCGTTCACCAAGTTAGAACACTGCTGGAGAAAGGTACCATTGGGAGGGCTGCAGAGAGGTGGGCAGGGGAACAGAAAGAAACGCAAGAAGCAAATAAAGACCACTGCGAACTGGCTGTGTTTGCTTTTCGTACTAGAGAAGTTAGAGCTATCCAACCCTATAATTATTGCTAGGATTAAAAATATGTTACTCACATAATCATGAAAGGCTTTTGCTTCACTTGAATGTTCACAAGTGTCTCTCCTTTCAGGAGCTGCACAGTAAAGGTCCCAAAATACACTGCGAGGAGGAAAATAAAATAAGGTCAGGTTACTAATTATTACTTGTGTACACAAGGGCAAGTGCACGATGCATGGCGCTAACAGTACTAGGTCTCCCAAAGGCTCAATCCCACCTTATCAGCTCTCATTGGGCAAACAGCCTAGAAAACAAAACACGTCCAACTTCTTCTGGCAAGCCAGCCATTAGTAATGGCAGTAATAGTTCTTATATATCAAATACCTACTACATGCCGGATGCTTCACACCCGTATTACTTGTGTCTACCATATACTGTAAGGTAGGCAATTTTCTCTCCACTTTACACAGGGGGCAACTGAAGCTCCAAGGGGTTAGTAGAACCTACTCATGGATGCCCTAGGAGGATGAACGCAA